>NC_000006.12:155525335-155676850 GCF_000001405.40 Homo sapiens | reverse complement strand
AAGTATTCTGATAGGAAGACTTGTTATATGCTTACTAGACTGTAAGCCTTTTAAAGGCAGAAACTCTGCCTTTATAGTTTGGTTTCTTTGATTGCAAGCATCAGAAATGAATATGGTTAAATGAAGGAAAAGAGAAAAGTTTTTGGAAGAATAAGAAGGAAGTCACAGAGAGGACAAAAGAGACGGCAGAAACAGAAGGTTTGGAGTAGACAGGAATCAGGAAGCACTAACAGATCTCAGAGGCAGGAAATGCTCAAAGGTGTCCACCCCCCAACACTGGAATGAAGTTCTAGTCAATTGGCTGTGGGAATGTCACTCTCTTCAGTTTATCACTCCAGGAGGGAGTGTCTGATTGACCGAGTTCAGGTCTCATGCCTGCACTTTGGATGTTCCAGGGTGGTGATAGAAAAAATATGGAGAACTGAGCTTGTGTGGAGCCCTTTGACTTCTGTATAATAGGAGAGAACTTCTTTGATATGCCACCCAAACAAGGTTTCAAACAGTGGAGGGAAGCTGATGGCCTAGAAGGAAATCAGGGTCTCCTAGAAGAAGGAATGAATATTAAGTGGCCAGAAATGTCCACACATAGTAGATACTCAAATATTTCTTGAGTGAATGAAAGACTAAATGAGTAGGAAAAAGTGAAGAAATGAACAATTGAACTGTTGTAAAGGAGACAGCAAAAAACCATATTTTATTCCCTTCCTTTCAAATGTAAATCATAGAATGGCAACTATAATCATAGTAAGAATTAAAATATTTCTTATCATTGACAGAGGCATTCCAATAGTTTTCTGTAAAGTACATTTATGCCAGTTGAATCCTATCCTCTAATTTACTTTCTTTGTGAAATAAGGGAAAATGGACAGCTTATTATATTGATTCCTGAAAATCTTAAAAATGAAACAGATTTATAATAATAATATATTTAAAAGAAGGATTATAACTTTTGTTTAAAAGGTTAATAATACTGCTCACCATGTTAAGAATTATGTTTTCCAACACATTTGAATAAAGTGAGCTAATATTCTCTCTTTTTTAATAGTGATGGTAATTTATTGGTAATGCAATTATTAAAATTATGCTACAAAGAATCGCATCTTTTAAAATCTTTATATTGCTTTATTGCTGAAATGTCTTAAGTCATTTTCCCATCCTGATGGTGACACCTGGGTATAAGAGTGATAGAAGAAGAAATGGAGCCTACATCACATAAGGAATTGGTAATTCTTTACAAATCACCACCCAACGAGAGAGGTATGTTATAAAATATTAGGACGGTACATTATCAGACAGAAAATTTGTGTCTTAATATGTGAGTTACTTAGGCTCCAATTTATTTTAATAGAATTTCTATTATGCACTAAGTCCTTGTTCCAGAAAACAAAATGTAAGTTAAAATACAAAAGAAGATTGATGGAGGGGGGAGGAAATTGGCCATATCTAATGGGAAAGGAATAAATATAGAGAGAACAGCTGAATCTTACTGACCTCCAAAGATATCTATCTCCACTGGAGACACCACACCCCAAATAAATGGGGTATGATCCCCTATCCTCTAAGAATGTACTTTTCTGAGATTTTCTTTTATTTGCCTCCTTTTCAATGTGGTAAAATTCGGCTTATGCTGTAAATTTTTCATTCTGCTCCCAGACACAGATATTGTAAGCAGCCATCCATGCAGTTGCCCAAGTGATCCTTGCTTCCACTCTGTCCCCACTGCTAACAACTCCATTGCCAATAAGGTTTAGTTCTGCGATTTTTAAATTTTTCATTTTTCCTCTATCATTCTTTCCTAGCCCATGCTCTGTGCATCCCTCTTAGCACTGTTCTTGTTTTCAGTCTTGCTCCCTCAAATTCATTCCCAAATACAAATTTGCTTATACCACTCTCCCATTTTAAATGCCTCTGTGCATTTCCACTACCCCTAGAATCAAGTCCAAGTTGCCCAGATGCCTGATGCATGGTGTCTCTCCACTGTCCCCACTGAACTCTTCACCAGAGCTCTCAGAAGTTCACTCCTGCCTGACACTGGGGCCTGTTAGAGCTTTCCTTATTGATTTTTATGGGACGTGGTATTGGTTCAAATAGATGCCATGGCAAGACAGGAAAAAGCAATTATTGAAATTCTTGGGACTCAAGGAATCCGTGCACCAGACATTCCTCATTGCTTGGGCACTATCTTTAGCTCAGTCACCCATTTGGCATTACAATGTTTGAACTGATTTGAGGACTGCGAAGTCCCCATTACTTGGTGGTCAATGAGGTACTAATGATTTCCTTAAATCCTAGAACCTGAACTAATGAGTTAGCGGCACCAACATGCCACTTACTTTTGACTTTTCTTAGATTATCTCATTTTGTAAATCTTTTTTTTTTTTTTTTTTTTTTGAGACGGAGCATATTGTAAATCTTTTGATTCATCTATAAACAAGCAGGTATGTAGAAAATAAAAGAATTACCATACCCAGCAAAAGTTCTAAATAGTTTGGCAGGACAAGAAGTATTTCTATATGTGGGATAAATGGTCATCTCTTTTACCACACCCATATGCAGGGGGGTTAAGAGTGAACTTTAAGAAAACCATTTAAAATCTGAAGATGTATTCCCCTGGTGGAGGATCTAGGTTCTCTTTACTTCTTTTTTTTTTAATTTATTTACATATATATATATTTTTACTATACTTTAAGTTTTAGGGTACATGTGCACAATGTGCAGGTTAGTTACATATGTATACATGTGCCATGTTGGTGTGCTGCAACCAGTAACTCGTCATTTAGCATTAGGTATATCTCCAAATGCTATCCCTCCCCGCTCCCCCTGCCCCACAACAGGCCCCGGTGTGTGATGTTCCCCTTCCTGTGTCCATGTGTTCTCATTGTTCAGTTCCCACTCCCACCTATGAGTGAGAACATGCGGTGTTTGGTTTTTTGTCCTTGCGATAGTTTGCTGAGAATGATGGTTTCCAGCTTCATCCATGTCCCTACAAAGGACACGAACTCATCATTTTTTACAGCTGCATAGTATTCCATGGTGTATATGTGCCTCATTTTCTTAATCCAGTCTATCACTGTTGGACATTTGGGTTGGTTCTCTTTACTTCTAAACCAACAAGCTTTTCAAAAGTATACATAATGTAATTTCTGAGAAATATTACAGAACTTTCTGAGCTATATACAAAAAAAATAGTAACTAAAAATTCTGACAAATCTATTTGGGTTTAAAAGGTAATAGCAGCTCTTGGCTCAGCTAAACTGTTAAAAGTCCTTATTGCTAGAACTCTTTTTCATGCTGAATAAGTGGATGCATTTTCACAGATTCTCAGGTTTCTCTCAATAAAACTGTTTGAGAATTCAAAAACAGAGCTTCTTAGTTGTAGTTCAGAATTAATTGTTCACACTAGATTCAGGCTAATTCAAATGAATTTCTTTTTCTTTTGGCCCAGTATAGTTATTGTTTGTTTCCAAAAAAATAATATTTCCTTATCATGTAAAACACAAAGACAGGTTCAATCAGAAACTACAATTTTTAGAACAATCACAATTTTCGTTGATTTATCTCCCCAGAGCTGAGAAAAACAGTTCAGTGTTTTCTGTCAAGGCAGCAAAGTGTGGATTTTGATTGGACATAGAGGGAACAGTTCTGTTTCAAGATCTCATTAAAAGCCACCTGCTGCCTTAATAATGATAACATAATTATAACGCTATTTCCAAATTTGGTATTACTTAGACATTGTGGACAGAAAGAGAAAGCTGATTAAAACTGTCTAATTTGAGACTAAGGTAGCAATTTGTGGAAAGCGTGTCTTGCTTGTGTTTGACAAATGCAATAGGAAAATACCAAATATATATTTTTGATTTGGAAAGGAAATGAGCCTAGTTATCCAGCCATAAGCCCATGCCATGGTATCACCTACAAAACAGCCCTTTACTTCCCCTGTTTTATTCTTCCTTTGACAGGAAACTTTCCTTAATTTTTATTTTTATACTAAACCAACTAATGATTTTCTAGAAATGATTTTTTTCAGAAGAACTGAACTGGCTCTATCCCAAGATAATGATTTCAATAACAAAGGCGTGGAGTTGTGACGCAGGAATAAATTAGGAATTAAGTAGGGGGATCATGGAAGAACTTGTTGTCCCAAACGAACAATTGCACTAAAACTTCAATGAAGCCAACATTGCTTTTGTATTGATGTGGCAGACCTTATAAATAACACAGAAGCAATAATCAATGGATTGTCAAATCAACTTATGCAATATTTATTAAGTGCAAGGCACTGTTTTAAATACTGTGAGTGGTGCAGAGATTAGTCTTTCCATCTATCTCAAAGTTTTATTCCTTCCAAGGTGACATCCAAAGCCACTCAACACCACAGCCTCGCATCTGTCTGACCTCCTCAGCGTGGTAAGTTGACCTCCTGTGCCAGCCATCACACAGCCCTCTCATTTCTTCATGATGTTTGTTCACTTTGGTTTTTGTGCAGGTGTACACTTTTTCGGATTCCAGAAAGTTCCCTCCTCCCCCACCTCCTTCCACACACTATGACTTTCCATTCTTTGGTGACTTAGCACTCCTCGGAGCACACTTCTCCCTCCAGCTCCTCCTCTGGATAACACCAATATCGTCTTCAAGACCCAACTCAGAGGCCATCTTTTCCAGGGACTCCCTCCAGTCTAGAACAAGTGACTCTCCCCTGTGCTCCCACAGAAGCACATAATCCTTTCATTATGATATTATATTAAGAATGACAGTGAATGTTTACTGAGCGCTTATTGTGCGTTAAACACTGCTCTAAGTGATTTACATAGGTTAATACATTCAATTCTTACAATAAGCACAAGAGCTAAAGAACTGTTACTTGCATTTTAGAGAAGAGGAAACTGAGAAATAAGGAGGGTAAGTAATTTGCTCAAGGCCTGTACACAGGTAGCCTGACCCCAGAGCCCACTGTTAATGACCAGGCTCCACAAAAACATCGATCTAGGCAGAGCAAACCTCTATGACTATGGGACCCTCCTGCTCACTCTCTCTGTCCATATTGCTACAATCTCCTTTAGGGCAGAGACTGTGTGTAATATATCTTTTTATCTCAAGCATCTATGGCACAGCACTAGTTGTAGTATGTGCTTAATAAACATTTCTTGAAGTTTGAGTGAAAACAAAGCCCTTCAACTCAAGCAAAGGGCAAGGTACACCTATATGAAAAATAGAATACTTATCACGTGTTTAATTCTTAGTACAGCTTTTCTTTATCTCCTTTACAACAGTCTCATACGTATGTTAACAAGATATGCTCCAAACTATATCCCAGTGAGGCAAGCACCAAATTGACTAGCCTTTGGTGTTCCTGGAAGCTGCACTTGGCTTTGATAATCTACAGTCATTTTTCAGGTAACTAATGTCAAGTGGGAATGTGTTGGAGTAGAGGTGGGCTTAGCCATTTCAATCACTGTCAGAAGTGAAATTCAGGGCAACTAACAGATATATATCCCTTGTCTTTTACTGGTGCTGTGAAAATTGATCTCTAAAATGCTTTGACTTGAGGTGAAAGTAGCTGTATATCATAAAAGCAGCCTTGCAAATATCCTTTCACCCAAAGTAAGTAACAATTTTCGATGGGCAAATAGGAAAGAAAAACTTATCTTTATTTTATGATCTTTGGCTATTGGAGTAGAAAGCAAGCTGGAGGAACTGTTGTATTTCTGTTTGTGATCGCTCGCTCATCTGGATTACTTCTTTATCTTGTACATTTTTTTTATGATTTCATGCATCATCAATTTACTCATCTTCTCCCCTTCCAGGCTTTAATAAGCTCCACAAGAACAGAGATGATGCCCAGGGAAGCCCCTGGCACGCAGCAGGTACTTAATGCATACCTAAAAGAATATTGATGGATTTGACCTATTTCCCTAAATAGGTGTCAGTTACCTAGGATCAGCCTGAAGAGCAGACCTAGGGGGTCCATTTTCCTTTAGATAATAAACAGCATTCCCAACATCTGAGATGACAGTGAGAGAAGAAATTGGATTAGGAGTGTTGATAATGAGTCTGCAACTTAGAGGAAAATTCACACATTCACATGCCTGTGTTCTGGAACTCATTCTCAACTGAATCTAGTAAAGTAGCGTTTGATAAGCACATATCAAAAGAAGGCCTTGTGCCAAATTTGAGAATAAGAGGTCATCCCAGCACCACAGCCAGCTCTAGGGTAGGATGAGTGAAGCCCTATCCTTGGGCACAGAATTTAACAGGGTTCCAATAAACTCTCCCTAATCAAGGTAAGTACTCATCTAATGCAAAATTTTTTAAAAAACAAAATTAATGCAAAAATCAATGATGAGCAATGTACCAACATTTTAAATAAAGACAGGATCAGAAATAGGACTGTGCCAAGCCATATTGGAGCCTGAGGCAAAAAGAAAATTCAGTAACAGTGATCCTGTCTTTACTTAAAATACCGAGATGTTGCTCATTACAGATTTTTTGCATTAATTTTGATTTTTAAGATTTTACATTAAAAGATGACTTCCTTTGCCTAGGGAGGGTTTTTCTTGCCCCTTACATGCATCAGGATACTGCCGCAGCCGTCTCACCCTCATCCTGGCCTTGCCCAGCACATGAGGCTCTCACAGGCAAGTCAGACACTGAGAGCAAATGGCGCTTATTAAAATTAAATGATCTTATGGAGGAGTGCTGGGGATGCTGCAAGAGCTCAGAGCACCTAGTCCATCACGGGGAAATGGCAACCTGGGAGTTGCTACAGAGTGAGTTGGGGTTGAGCCAGGGCACCCATGAGACAGCAGCATGGTGGGTGGAAGGGAGTAAGTAGAACATGATGAGGTGAGGGGCGCCATCATGGCATGCTAAGAGAAGCCCAGGCCGGTGGGATTCATCAGAAGGAAACCTGGCCGGGCAAGGTGGCTCATGCCTGTAATCCCAGCACTTTGGGAGGCCAAGGTGGGCGGATCACCTGAGGTCTGCGAGTTCTGGAACAGCGTGGCCAACATGGTGAAACCCCATCTTTACCAAAAATAGAAAAATTAGCTGGGCGTGGTGGCGGGCGCCTGTAATTCCAGCTACTCGGGAGGCTGAAGCAGGAGAAAGAGAAAGAAAGAAAGAAACCTGAGCAACATGGCGGCAGGGAGTGGGGAGGCTGAGAAACGAAGGCAGCTTCTGGGTGGCCTAACTTGCCCCATGGAGTTTTCAAACATCCGGCTCCCTGTTATCTCCTGGTGCCCTGGATTTCTCACTGCCCTTTTGTGGCTTGGGATTCCAGCTGCAGGACAAACCCCAGACCCATCAAAGATTCTGTTTTCTACATCCAGAGAGAGCCAATTCCCAAGACAACTAGCTCCACGCTAAGGGAGCTTATGTTTGGGCCAGTTACACCCTCTCCCTTTCGATTAGGGAATATATTTTCCCTGCGGTTTTCTAGAAACATCCTTAATCCAGAAATGTTCCAGAAGTGGGAAATTTGCTCAACGTTGCAAACTTGAGGGCAGGCGGAGGCTTAGTGTATCCACCACAAGACACCCAGAGGTCCTATGCAAACAGCCTGTGGCTGGATCCTGTGTTCTAGAGACAGTGGACACCTGAGAGTGAATTCTTTTAAACCATCACTGAATGAGGAGTAAGCACTCAATGCAATGCCACGAGTGATATGAGAAGAGAAAAGAGATATGCAGGACAGAACTTTCTCTTCGTTTGGGGAGGTGTGAGACACACTAGTGGGATGAGACAGCTTAAGTGACAATATTACTGGTATAGATAATGAGGGCTGTAGCATTCGAGGGATGGTTTAAAAAAGATCAGTGATGATACTCAGTTTATGTTCCTAACACTCAGAGCAGATTATTAAAAGCCTTTCTCATCTGATTCCCAAGCCATGTCACTAACCTCATTTCTTGATGCCCTACATCACAGCCTTGCATCCATTCCTCAGTCTGCTCAACACTCCCCAATCCCCATGGGTCAGCCGTGGCTTCACTCATGCTGTTCTTTCTGCCCCCTGAGCCCTCTGGGAAGCTCTCCAGGCTCCTGCCCTCCAAAGTGGCAGAACTCATCCCAGTGCCCTCTAGGACTCTAGGACATGCCCTCAGCATGATTCTTCCTATCAGGACCATCACACTCATTGATGCTGTTTCCATTTGTTGTTAATATAACTCACCAGTTTCTTACGCTTTTCATATATTGAATGCCTGGGATAGCACCAACTGAAACAAAGTGGTTTGGTTAAATTAATTAATAGACATTAGCAAAGAAAATTAAAATGATTGACATGTTACACTATTAAAAGGATGAAAGGGGTTAAATTCGTTGAATGTTTTCGTCTGGAGAAGGCAAGCTAATTTACTAATAAGGATTTTCTGAACGTTGAGTGGAAAAACCTGGATTGGCCTTGAGTCTTACAAAACCAGCAAACTCTTCACAAATAGTGTTACTCTCAAAGCACAAGATAGGTTCGTGGGAGATGTGTCAATATATAGTGTATTACTCAGGGCTCTCTAGAGGGACAGGACTAATAGGATAGATGTATCTATGAAGGGGAGTTTATTAAGGAGAATTGACTCACACAGTCACAAGGTGAAGTCCCACAATAGGCCATCTGCAAGCTGAGGAGCAAGGAAACCAGTCAGAGTCCCAAAAACTCAAATGTAGGCAAGTCGGCAGTGCAGTCTGTGGCTGAAAGCCGGAGGGCCCCTGGCAGACCACTGGTATAGGTCCAAGAGTCCAAAAGCTGAAGAACTTGGAGTCAGATGTTCAAGGGCAGGAAGCATCCAGCACGGGAGGAAAATGGAGGCAAGAAGACTTAGCCAGTCTAGTACTTCCACATTCCTCTACCTGCTTTTATCCCAGCTCCACTGGCAGCTGACTAGATGGTGCCCACCCAGATTAAGGGTGGGCCTATCTTTCCCAGTCCACTGACTCAAGTGTTAATCTCCTTTGGCAACACCCTCACAGACACACCCAGGGATAATACTTTGCATCCTTCGATCCAATCAAGTTGACACTCAATATTAACCATCACCTATAGCCTATTTTTTTTTTCCAAGCATCCACCCAAATCATGAGAAAGTTTAAGGTGGAAAACTAGGTTGTCAGGAATGTTACGATATGAACACCAAAGTCAGGAAACAAACACAAAAAGAGTTAACAGAATTTAAAAACCACATTTTAGGCTACATCTTTTCTTCCTTCTCCCAAATGTCACAAGCCAAGGGCAAAATGGGAGTCTTTACTTGAAATCTTCAGTCATTTGTCACTGCTTTATTACAATATTAGCATTGTTTAAAACACTGATGTATTTTTTTTTTGGCCGTGAAAATGGATGTGTAAGTGCACAAAGACCATGCATATGATTAGCATAATAATGGGAAACATGTACAACGCTCTGGCTCATCTTGACTTCTCTGACCTTCAGCACTTTAGCTGGAGTTAGAAATGGCTCTGGGTGTTTAGCCTTAGTATGCAAAGGTGGGTGGAGATGGCATAATTTCTTGAAATCATTGCCCTCGGAGAGTGACATGGTGTAAATTTCCAAAATGTTTGAAATTTCCATCCACCGGCTGAGTTCTGATGTGTTGCAATGCGGACAGCAAAGTTCTAGTTGAGGATTTATCTCAGGCTCCAAAGCCGCAGGCCAATGAATGCCCAGCGCTGTGAAGGTGAAAGGCACAGTCTCCAAAGCTAAAGAGCCATCCACATCAATTTGCAGCCAGCTAAGTGGCATCAGCGGTGGGAGAGCTATTTACACTCCCTTCTTGGCTGAGAATGACGGGTCTGTAACCAGGAGGGAAGCCAGGGAAATTGACAGGGCTGTTCAGAATATAATGGTCATTTATGGCTAAAGTACCCCCATAACAGTGGGCCCCTCACTCTCATCTGCAGAATACTTGAGAAACTTGCAATAAAATACATGCTCACACCAAACTCAGCCCCCTCTAGAGACTTTCTGCAAAATGCACATTCACATTAAAGCACCTGATGGCATTTGCTTTGCTTATCCAATGGGACAAAGCCAAGGGACCTTCCTAAATGTTGTCCTCCCCCAACAGATGCTGATAGGAAGGGTTCAACCCACCACTGACAACTGGATTCTTATCATCTCACAAGGAAGAGGGAGAGAACTGGGAGGAAAATAATTAGACAACATTTATCATGCAATTCGTGAAAGTACTGTATTTTGCAGCAATGTAAATTATAGTATTGCATTATCAAGATAATAATTTGTTTTTGTGACAAGAAATCACACCATTATGTGTTGCATCTGTATTATTTTTTAAATTAGGCTTTTTAATTACAGAGATAAATTATGTATGTAAGAATCCCACTTTGAAAATTTTATACAACATGTCATCTAAAATCCCATTAACTGTTGGAATCTACTCCTCTCATCTCTAAATGCTCCCAATTGTAAGAATTAACTCTTGCCTAGGTGGCCAGGAGCCCTGTGGCACACTCCTGCAGCTTGACTCCACCTCACCTAGGGACAACCCTGTTTGTTCAGTTACAGGAATAAGGACACCTCGGGGTCTCCCTGCAGCTCTGCCGCAGGCTCCACCCCAAGTGAAGCTGTTCAAACTTGAAAATGTCTCTGTAGGGTTGCCCTTCTGCCTTCATTTTGTATGCCCTGAGAGAAAGCTGCTTTTCTCTCCCAGTTATGATTCCCTGAAGATTTTCAGATGTGACAGAGGTCCAAAAAGTGAAATCAATATGAAGTAAAGGTTACCATTATAGGTGATTGTCTCAATCTAATATGTTTTGTGGCAGCATAGACTTGGGAACCCATCATACCTGGGTTCAAGTTCTGGCATGGTAAATAACCTCCCTGGGTCTCAATTTTTCCATCTGCAAAAGAAGCACAATAATAATAATTCATATAAAAAGTAGGAATTAAATAAAATAATGTCTATAAAGCACCAGGGCAAGGTCTGGAACGTAACAAGTATTTGTTACATCAGAGTAGTTATTCATATTCCTTTGTTTCAAAGCAATGATTTGAGACTAAGTTCAATCCAAAGTTCATCTTTGGGTTTCTTTAATTTCCAAATGGTCCATATCAGCTTCATAACTGTACTTGATGCTATTGATCAACAGAGGATGAGTTTAATATAGCCACCTTTTTTGAGCCAGAAAAGAGAAAAAGATAATTTGGAAAAGATATAAGCTTAGTGGCCAATGAAGCACCTTCAGACATTCCGACCATGATTAATCAGTTGTGGGCACAGATGATGTCAATTCCATCTTCATCTACCATCTTGTCACTGTTTGCCTCTACAGCCTGGGCATCAGTACCTTGCAGTCAGCAAAGAACAGAACAAAGAAGAGATATCTCCAGAAGATGACTCAAGAGGGGAGAGCATGCCTGAGAAGACACATCGCAGATCATCCAACTACATACTTGCCTAATTTTTCACATTGTTTTTGCCAATCCTGCCCTTAAAACCATTTCCTGAACTTTCCAAAATGCATGGCCCACTTTGAGGAATAGTGACAAACTGGATAGGCCATGAGATAATACAATTTACTTCTACCCCTGCCACGTATTCTTCCAGTTAGTCAAAATATCGGATTTCCTCCTCAATCCTCTCTTCTCTATGAAACACACTCTCCCCAGGTGTGAGAAGAGAAAGGAAATTAGTAAAATGTATGTTCAAAATTAGTAAAGTTAAGTTCAATTGCATTGCCAGAAATAGGAGCAGGGTGGGGAGGGGATAAGACAGCACAGGGGGAAAAAAAACATAATCAAAGAAAAACATGCATTTTCAGACATAAAGAGCTGCTTTGGGTCTGAGGATGTACGTATAAAAGAGGGACTTAGATCACAAGAATTGGCATTCAAACAAATAAAAATGTAATTACATGAAGAGAACAGGCAGAATGTACAAAAATTCTCATACTTTGTTTTCAAACAAGAACAAAACCTGAAATGTAATTTTCAACGAAGAACGGAAAGAGAAGGATCTTTGTTTTGCTTCTCATGTTGGAGATTCATTACTATGGGAGAAGGTAGATTGTCTCATCCTTAAGAAGCAGAATTATTTCAATACAAGAATCAGAGTTAAAATGGAACTGATGTATTCACAGAAAAGGCTTGAAGTGTAGGTCAGCCTTAACCACAGATTACAAAATGGAGAGGAAAATATGCTGAAGGAAATGAGAAAATGAGGTTGACCAAGTTATGTCTGAGGAGACCCCCTCCCCATTTCCAAGAGGATTGCTAAGTTCTCCAAGCTCTAAGAAGTGAGTTTGCAATTAAACAGGTTTGTTCTTATAGGTTCAAGGACGTAAACAAGACAAAGACATTAAAATATAATCTGTGTCACTACAAATGATGAGATAAAGATTCAACCAACAATCATGATATGGACCTGAAAACTTTTTATTTTTTTTGAGACAGAGTCTCACTCTGTTGCCCAGGCTGAAGTGCAGTGCTGCGATCTCAGCTTACTGCAACCTCTGTCTCCCAGGTCTAAGTGATTATCTTGCCTCAGCCTACCAAGTAGCTGGGATCACAGGCACCCACTACCATGCCCGGCAAATTTTTGTATTTTTAGCAGAGACAGGGTTTTGCCATGTTGGCCACACTGGTCTCAAACTCCTGACCTCAAGTGATCCACCAGCCTCAGCCTCCCAAAATGCTGCGATTACAGGCGTGAGCCACCATGCCCAGTCTGGACCTGTAAACTTCTGTGGTTTGATACATTTCTGACTTTTTGCCCACCTACCTCTTCTGATGTTTTGCAGCCCACAGGTCAAATCCAGCCTGCCACCTGTTTTTGCACTCCCTACAAGCAAAGGATGGCTTTTACATTTTTAAGTGGTTGGAAAAAGATCAAAACAAGGTAATATTTTGTGACTCAGGAAAATGATATAAAATCATATTTCAGTGAGCACAAATTTAGTTTTATTGGACTCAGCCACACCCATTTACGATGGTCTGGGACTCTTTTTCACCACAAGAGAAGAATTAAGTAGGTGCAGCTAAGACCACATGGCTCTTAAAGCCTAAAATATTAATATTTACTATTGTGCCCTTTATAGAAAGTTTGACAACCTGCGACTCAGAAAAAAAGCACAGGCTTCAGAATCAGAACATCAGATTCCAATTCTGGCTCCATCACTACCATACAGTTGTCAGATTTTGATAAGTTAACTTCTCTGAGCCTCGGTTTTCTGATCTGCAAACTGAGGTTCACACCTGGTTTGTAGGTTTCCTGCATTTATTAGACATAAGGCATTCAGCTCTGGCTCTGTTGCACAGAAGGTGCTCATGAATGGCATTCATCACTTCTCCCTTTCTTCCTGTCCTTCTCCACGTGACTTTATTTCTCCCACTCCCAAAGTTAAGCATTCCTTAAATTTATTCTTTAAACCTCTATCTTGATACTCTGCTCTAGACTTTCTCCCTGGGGCTTCTCATCATTCCTCTTGTCTGTAACTCTGCATTGAGGCAGGTGATTCCCATATCTGCCACTCCAGTTCTACTTCTCCTCTGAGTTATTTATGGAATGTCTTCCCTGCTCTGGGATATCTCCACTTGGACATCTCATGAGCACCCCAATTTCAACTTCTAACAAAACAAACATATCTTCTACCTCATGAATTAAACACACATAAAATAAGATCAACATAATATAAACGCAGGATTCTGTCCTACTGTAGTCGCCATTGGCTGTCACCAAATTCTAATAGTTACTGAGATGCAAGAATATTGAAGGCACGTTTCACTCCCCACCTTCCCAGCTCTACTTTTTTGGTTCCTAACTGAGCGGGCCCCTCCTGTCCATCACAGCATTCCTGGATTAAGCTGCCTAAAACACAGCTGCAATCACACCATTCTCCTACTTGAAAACTTTCTAGAGCTCTCCATTAAGTATAAATCCTGTAGACAGGTACAGAAGGCACCCAACAATGTCTCCTGCCCTATTTTTTCATACTCACCTCCTTCTACTTTCTTTCATATGCGCCCTACTCCCCACAAATTTGACTATTTGCTTTTCCCAGACATGTCTTCCCCCTTTCCCCAATGCCTTTTCCTTGCCTAACCTACCCTATCTGCCAGGAGTGCCGTTTATTCCAGCATGACCCAAACCTACCTGTCCTTCAAGATTCTGACTAAATGCCACCACCTCGATGAAATTTCCCTGATTATTTGGAGTTATAAGTAATCTTCCCCTCCTCTGAAATGTCATGATAACTGATTTGCTGCTCTCTTATGGCATAAGTGACCTTCTTTCTTGGATTATGAGAAAACCCTGTGCCTGCATGACTATGTGTAGACAGGAGCAATATGTGACAGCAAGTCAGAGTGACTTCAACCTCATTCCTGCCACTCCCCGGCTATACAGTCCTCAGCAAGTTAGTTTACCTTCCTCACCTCAGTTTTCATACCTGTAAAATGGATATAGTAATGCCTAGCACATAACTTACTGGGAGAATTAAATAAGATAATGTATATAAGGCATCTGGCACAGAATCTGCCATAGAAAAATAGAATTTTTATTCTACCTTCCTTAAAAGGTAGTGTGTCTTCACTGAGTAGAGAATCAAGCAGCTGATGTATTTTTCATGAAGGAATCTTCTCTGAAAATGGCCTTAAAGTAGGTAGTCAAAAAACATTTGTTCTAATAAACTGAAATAATGATGAGGTTTTAATCAAATGCCAAATGGTATTTATATGAACTCTGGAGTATAGGTTGAAAATAAAATTGAGTAACTGTGAATATATAACTTTGAAAATCACTTAGAATAAAGTTAAGGATATTAATTCTTTCTGATTTCTTGAGCTTACTAATTAACAAAGGAAGATACTAGGTAGTGAATTAATGAAATACAATATGACCTTGGCAAAAAAAATTCATTATTAAATCGATTAAAACAGTTCTTCATTGATACAACTCAGAAAAGGGTCCAAAGTAAATTGTTGCACTTCCAATGATCATGGTGCACTTTAAAGATCAATGTATTTATTTGATCCAGTGGGGAATCTGGATGGATACTGTCAGGTACAAGAGTCCTTCGCCTTTCAGCCTGAAGGGTTTCTTCATAAAATACTGGGGTCACAGCTGGTATGTTTTCTTGGGTTCGTTCTACTCCTTGCCATAAGAAAGTGAGGCTGATTCACGAACTTGACACAGACTTACGAAGAAACATTATTTTCTAAATTAAAAAGACAGAAGATGATTTATTTACTTAGGGTTATAGAAGAGCTTCTCATCCAACATTAGCCTGAAGGGCTGTCTAAAGA
Organism: Homo sapiens; assembly: GCF_000001405.40. Taxonomy (NCBI): domain Eukaryota; kingdom Metazoa; phylum Chordata; class Mammalia; order Primates; family Hominidae; genus Homo; species Homo sapiens. The sequence continues at coordinate 155,661,597 of NC_000006.12, read as the reverse complement.
CAGATACATTGGGTACTCAAAGGGCAAAAAGTATAATCCAGAGTTCTGAGTATACACTGAGCTGTACAACTGTACCTTTCTTGCAGTTGATCTTGTAAATCAAAATTTCACACATCCAGGATAGATTTTTCAGATATTTAGGTTTACATCGAATTTGCCATAGTTCAGGTCTTTAACTATTTGCCAACTGATATTCTGTGCCAACTTACTGTAGATTAGTAAACTCTAAGGAGGCTGAAGACAGTGTCATTACTACCTTTAGCGAAATCTCAAATGGAATGAACTCCCAAAGGGAATCTGTGGTTGCATTTTTAACCTTCAATAATTTTTTTAATGTCTAACTGTTAAAAATAAATCAATGTCCTTCAGTTTAGGAAAGGAGAAAAAGGGATGCCTTCTGCTCCTTTCCTAAGGAGAAGGGATGCTTTGGAAATAGCAAGCCTAGGAGTCAGGACACCTGGACTCTAGAGCCAACTCTCAGGCAGATGAATCAAATGACTCCAGGTAAGTTCCTGTTAAGTGCCTTGGAGACTGCTTGGATAGTGTGGGAGAAATGGCATTATTTTCTGAAATATTGAAAAGCAAAAGTGGATGTAATCAAGGAAAAAACAAAACGAAACAAGAATAACTGATCCTTTATGTCTTCTGGGAGGATTCACTAGTTCATTGCACCAAGGAGCCTACAGATATAGAAAACAAAGTCTATGAAATTTGGAATGATGAGAACAAGTGAAGTTAGTAAGGTTAGTAAGGATACACTAAGCCTGGATCCATGCGGAGTGTTTCATATGTAATTTTCAAGGCCTGTAAGGTAGCCCCATTTTACAGATGGAGAAAAGAAACTCCGAGGATTACTTGCTCAAGGTCACAGAGCTTCTAAGAGGCAAAGCATAGATTCAGATCTAGATGTAATGGTCATACAATATTGCCTCCCTTGTAGCTGAATATGTAACATTTAATAAACACTGTTAGGGACAAACCGCCCCAAAAACTTCTTGGTACTGTGGACACCCCCCTCCCAAACCTCTCCGTGCCACCCCTCCCCTTCCCCCAAGCCTTTTTACATTTATAAGCCCTTATCTAGGCGCCACAGTGGAGCCAGCAGACTTACTTATCAGACCTTGCTGCCATGAGCAAACTCCAATTACAAACCATCCAAACCACACAGGGGGAGGTCGTGGGAAGCATAAACAAACTTTACCTACACCCCCATGTACCATAAATGTCACAAAGTGATATGTGGCAGAATTAACCAGCAAACAACCCCAGGGTCTCTCTCCCCCATATAAACCCCTCATTTTGTAAGCTCAGGGCTGCCTCCTCTGTCTGTAGTGGAGCAGCCTGCAGGTTCAATAAACTTACTTGCCTGACTTTGGGTCTATTCTTCCTTTCTCTCAGCTGACCTTGCAAACACTAAGATTTTATTTAATTATAAAATAGAAAGCTTTCCTTTCCAATTGCCAAAGCTGTCCACATCCTAGGATTTTACTAGGTGAAAGGTAACTGTGGTAAGAGAGAAAGTAGTTTATATCTGAAGTTCTTTCCTGAGAAATAAAGTCCCAAATGTGGAGAATTGTTAGCAGGTAAAGGAACAAAACATATTTTGGAGATTCAGCTTGTTTTTGTGTAACTGAAGACATAATTTATTCAGTTGTATCAAAACATAAAATAGTGATACTAGAGCCAACTCTAGCATCAAAATCATACTCAACTCAAAGAAAAAAAGAAAAGGCAAGTTAAAGAGTAGTTTGAAGTGATTTAACCCAAGAATCATGGTGCTCAACAAACTCTGAAAGTCATCATGCACAGGACTTTCATCTTCACCATGCATCCTTGTGTCTAAAAATACTTGCTGATGGTTCTTAGGACTATTCAAGATGCCTCTTGAAAAAATACTAAGCATGCATGTTACAAATGCACGTGTCTTAATCAATGCTTAGTCCATTAATACATGTGACTCCTGTTTATCAAAAATGGCCTTCTGAGGGTATATATTCTGTCCTTTTTCCTGTTAGAGGCTCTGAAATTATGAGCACTTTTTTCTTCTGTATTTAAAAAGCAGACAAGCAAATGTTTTAAATGCAGCTAAAGTGATCTCCCTTTCCACATTCTATGCAGATAACAATACCTTCATAATTAAAGTACTATTATTACTATTTAATTGTCTGTTTCATTGTTTAATGAATAGGAACTAGTTAATTATGGTGATAGGGAAAGACAAAGGACAGTTTTCCAATGGGGGATGCGAAGCTCTAGTTTTTACAACGTGGGCTGAAAATTGCTTTATTTCTACTTCTGAACATCAGAACCCAGATTCACACATCCTTGTCAAATTATAAATCTCTTTCAGCATGATTTGAAAATGTGTTTAAGGAAGACTTTTTTTCTAATTTTGCATATTTAAATGATAGCAAATTTATTTCTTGATAGGTTAGAACTGGCTATGTTGGATTCATTCATCGAACAATTCTGAGAGTGAAAAAGCCAGAGCAGCTTTTTAACAACTCCCCAGCAAGGGCAGTTTTCAGGCACGTGAGGTCAAGAACTCACAAAATACACTGAAAGAATAAGACCGATCTAGCACTGATAAAACTCATCCTGGCCAGCTGTCTGCACTGGGGCTTAAAGCTCACTGTTGCTAGACAGGATCTGGACCTTGATGCAGAATTCTCATTGTTGCCTCAGGCCACCAATGGCAGAGTTATACTCATGTATTTCCACGTCTGTGGGTACCATGTTGAAAGACACTTTCATGTTTGCGCAGGGCTTTGCAGTTTTAAAAACCACTTTTCCGACTATCATTTTATTTGATCATTATAGCCCACGAAGCATGCAGGTCAGATATTATGTGCATGTTCCAAATTAGGAAACACGGCCAAAGAGGTTGAATGGCCTGTCTTGATCTTGTGGCTAATAAGTAGTACAGATATCTCTTCAGACCTTCTAGAAAGATGGGTAATTACATAAAGGAGTTATCAACATGACGTTGATGATTGATGTCGATGTTTTGCCAGAGCAACAGAGCAGGGAACAATAGGTAATAGAGTGCCTACTTCATGAGCCTAATCATCATCATGCAGAAAGATGTTGGGAGTCACTCTAAATAGTGATATACAAAACTTCGCTAAAATTTTGAAACATATCTCAATGCAAAATTGTTCTCTGATGGAGATGCAATCAGAAATATACATATCTGAGCTGACTTTATTATCTAACAAGGTTTGTGTTCAGACATACGAGGCTACTTCTGGATAGGAGATAGGGAGACTAGGTAACACTTCTGAGGACATTAGGGGAAAATATTAATTTTATTATGCAGGGAAAAATAAATCCTGTAGGGTGAAATTATGTTTCTCTTTTGTTTTCCTCAGTGGCACACTAGAAATGTTACCAATATATACACACACTCAAGGCTGCCACCCTCCTTCTATCAAGGCTGCCACCGCTGCAGACTTACCTTTTCCTGTTCCTACACCCAGGCTGGAGCTAACACATGTCATACTCGACAGATGTATCATAATCTCCTACATGAGTAAATGCCAAAAAAGGAGGGGAGAAGGTTGGAAAAAATCCAATACTGTAACATGTACTTATTAAGCTGGAGTTTCTTTAATGAGAAAGTCTTGCACATTGTCAATGTCACTAATACAAATTTCTTTATTTAGCAGCAACATCATAGAGACAATATGGGAAATTTTTGGTCCCTAATATTGATCTCCACAGGTTTTTCATCTGACATTTTCTTTGGCGCAATACATATTTGTGTGCAATATTGATTTTAATATGTTTCTTTGCTGCTAAAAAGTTTGGTATTGTGTTTGTATGTGTAATAGTAAGTATTAAACTAGAGGTTTCATACTGATTGTTCTCCACTCCTGCCAAATACTATGTGTAGAAAATATATTTCTATCTACTTTTGTTTTCTCTACACTGATTCCATCCTTTTAAAGAGTAAGAATTCAGAGGTGATGGTTCCAGGATGGCTTTCTTTAGCAATCTGAGGATTAAAATATGGTTACAGAGATTTATTGGCCAATCTTAATACCGCATGAAAACCAATTCTAGTGGCATTATTATAACTTTTATTATATGGTACAGCTTATTGTACCCTACAAGCAATTTAGGCAAATAAACTAAGTTAACACCACAGAAGTATGGGAAGCTTATGCAGATGTTAGGGTATTGTTTGATATTTGTTTAATGACACTGTTATGTATCTAAAATATATGTTCCCTAAAAGTTGATGTTTCTGATTCTAACCATACCTGTAACACAGTCAGATCATCCATTGCCAGGGATGTTCATCTCTGCTGCCTAAAGCATAGGTATACTGACTCTGTCAACTCAAAGTTTAGAAGCAAAGTAGGTATCATTTGTCTGTATTTCCTTAACTAATTTAAAAGTGTTAGGAATCAGCTTGGGGATAAGTGGCCTTTAATAAGTAGCAACCTATTTGAAATCTATGGGAGGCACAGTGACAAGTAAATTTAGAGAACAGATGTATGTGCAGATATGGAGCAAATTATCAGCAGGGAGCCAAGCTCTCATCAAAAGGAGGAGACAAGGAAGATAGGCAACATCGGGGAGAATCAACAGCAAGCCTCCATATGGACAAGAACCACACTGGGAGAAATGAGAAGTACCAGGCCATCAATGAGCTGAATCTGGGACATAGGCATGAGATAAAAAAAAGGACACTTTCATTTGCTAAAATCAGGATGCAAAGCAGCATGATACAATGCCAGTAGAGTACCGTTTAGAGCTCCATATATGCTTAGGACATATATGTGCCCTAGTCTTAGGGACAGGATAGATCCTTAAATTTGCCAAAGTGTAAAACATGCAGTTGAGAGTTCAGTGATATCACAAGGCTGTAGGAATAGAAAGGCAAACAAGTTCCTGGCAATCCAGGTTGGTGCCTGGTTTTATGAAGGTCCTTTCTCTTTTATTTTTATGATTTTGTGTTAAAAGGAAAGCACTGGTTCATCTGCCTGAATCTAAGGCACAAAGTCAAGATTAATGAAATCAGGCACTTGAAATAAAAGATAGTCTAATTTTAGGTTAAATCTCATGGATTTTTATGACTGAGATATATGCTGTCCAGAAGACCTTATTGTTCTGAAAAAGGTGAAGTCAAAAATAGTGTTAGTAGATTAGGGCTGGAACAGAGAAGAAGCAAAGACAGCCTGCAAGAAGAAAGATCAAATTAGCAAGACAAGCATATTATATTAGTCTATTTTCACGCTGCTGATAAAGACATATCTGACAGTGGGAAGAAAAAGAGATTTTAATGGACTCACAGTTTCACATAGCTGTGGAGTTCTCACAATTATGGTGGAAGGCAAGGAGGAGCAACTCACGTCTTACATGGATGGCAGTCAGCAAAGAGAGAGCTTATAAAACCATCAGATCTCATGAGACTTACTCACTATCACAAGAATAGCATGGGAAAGACCTGCCCCCATGATTCAATTACCTCCCACTGGGTAGCTCCCAGAACACGTAGAAATTCAAGATGAGATTTGGGTGGGGACACAGCCAAACAATATCACTATGAACCATGCAAAGTAATGTAAGTGTGAATGTAGATGCTCACAGAGTGATCCTAGATTTGGCAGAGATGGACTACCAATTAATCAGCAAACTTTTCCTAAATGCCTGATTTATCTGGAATAGTGTATAAAATGATGAAGTATATACAACTACAGAGACATGATCATTGACTGTCGGACATTATAGATTAGCTATAAAGAAAGAATATGCATATATATATTTATGTACACACACACATAGCTACCTATATGATATACATTAATCCAATAGTGCTGGAGGAAGGCGTTATTAATGATATAAGCAAGAAGCAGTATACGCATTGGAAGAGGAGAGAGTATGCTAACAATTTGGGATGATGAAGGAGATTTCCTAGAACTATGAGGAAAGTAGCCCTAAACATTTCACTAGATTGTTTCCTACAGTATTCTGATGTTGTGTTCTCTTAGGGTGCAGTTTGATGTTGGGAATGGAAAGAGAGAAAAAGAAAAGAAGACAGAGCTTGAAAATTTCTGGATAACATTACAACAACTGTTGTGGTAAAAAAATAAAATAAAATCCCCATGGTTTTGGCAAACGAGTTGAATATGACATAGCTAGGGTTTTGATATGGACCTAACAATCCCTCTTTCAATCCTCTTCATCTGCAAGTTAGTCCATTGACCTTCCATTAGCCAGCCTTCTCTAGGTAATGATATTTTTAAAATCCAGAGCCAAACAAGTAGTTAAAAATGATCCAGGGCTAGAGATGCCCCAGGGACTTTGCAAGAACAAATACAAAACCTATTAGAGGGAATGCGTCCCCAAGGCAAGCCTCAAGTAATTCCCATGAATAAAGGTCTAATTAGAAAGGTTTATTTAAAAACAAAAAAAACTCTATAATACACATGAATGACAATGGCACATAAGCAAGAACCAGGAGAAATAACAGAAGAATCAAACCTAAAAGATATTAGATAGTGGACTTAACAGGCACAGAACAAAAAAACACATATATAATGTTTTAAGAAGTATAAGATATGAATGTTATGGCTCTTTTATAATTTGTCTAGCAGGTTTTCCACTTTTCACCAGAAACTGCCTCTCTCTCCTCTACACATAAAGAAATATAAGATATAATTTAAAATATAACAAAGAAGAGACTATCAATTTAACCAGTGAGTTTGAAAAATAACTTAATAAAATGTTTAGAAGTAAAAAAGATATATAAATGGTAACAGTGAAATGGAAACATTATAATATACATGAAAATACAACATAAAATATAATAATACAATGAAATGTGTAATTTATGTTATGAATATAAAAAATGAAATTAAAACATTAATTGTTGAACTATGTTAGATTTTGCTGAAGAGATAATTAGTGAACTGGAAGATAGAGCTGAAGGAATTACTGAGCACAGAGCAGCCCAGAGAAACAATCAAAATGGAAAATGAAAAAGAAAGGTTAAAAGTCATAGAGCAAAGAATGAGAGAGTCTAAAACATGCTTACTCAGAATTATAGAAAAAGAACAAAGCAATGGAGGAAAGGCAATATTTTAAAAATAGCTGAGAATTTTCTGTAATTGATGAGAGACAAAACATGTATTATTCATTAAGCACGATAGAAATCAAGTAGGATAAATAAAAGACAAACCCAACCTGGTCACATCATAATAAAATGGAAGACAAAACACAAAGAAAAGATCTTAAGAGTAGTCAAAGAGAAAAACAGATCCCATGTAAGATTATGACAATTATCCCATTTTTAAACAGAAATCGTGAAAGCCATAAGCCAATAGAATACCATTTTTAAAGTGTGAGAGAAAAAAAATTGTCAACTTAAGATTGTAAAATTACGCCTAAAGACCAAGATGGAAATAAAAAGAAGTTTAGACAACAAAATAAAAATGTATTCACTCTCAGAACTTCTAAAGGAAGTAGGAAAATGTTTCCAGAAGAAACGGATGACACACACAAAAAAATGATGAGCAAATAGATTGGTAAACATATATGTAAATTTAAATACATATTCTGTCTAATTTGTGGAGTTATTCGAAACAATATGCAGCTCTCTACTGGACAAGTATCGTTTTATTATCCTATATTAACAGTGAGGTGGCAGAAAAAGCATTTTGAGCTCCATGTATTGCTCTGGAGATTGGTAAAACTATCCTGATTAACTTTAGATTTTGTTAGGCTGGGTATGGATTATAAAATTCTAATAATGTTTTGTTTTGTTGTCTAAACTTCTTTTTATTTCCATCTTGGTCTTTAGAGGGAGTTTTACAATCTAAGTTAACAGTTTTTTCTCTGACACTTTAAAAAATATCATTAACCACAAAAGAGTAGAAATTGAAATAAGTGAAGAGTAATAATATGATTGACTACATGAAGCCGATTAATCACAAAAAGTGAAGAAGGAGAGAAAAGAAAGTAAATGACAGCTGTAAAACACAAAATAACATCCTAGAAGTGAATGTAAATACAGCTCTAATAATCGATATAAAGAGGCATTGATTGTTAGACCCAAAAAGGTAGAGAAATATATAGAGATACAAACATAGACATAGACATAGATCTCTAGCTATATCCTGTTTATAAGGTGCTCACTTAAAACATTAAGACACAGCAAAGGTGAAGGTATAAGGACGGAAAATTTTGCACCAGGTAAATACTAACAAAAGAAATCATGTTTATAATGTAATATTAAAAACAGACTTCAAAGAAGAAAGTATTACTAGAGATATAGAAAGATGATGATATATTCACCAAAGATATATAACACTCAGACAAGATTATAAGTTTTACAAACATTAACTATTTCAATCCTCTTAAAACTTGATGAAATACATTTTATCTCCATTTCACAGATGAGGACATAGAAACACAGAGGTTTCAGTAAAAGTTGAATTCATCAAAGATATAATCATTTTAAACTTGTAAAAGCCTAATAGAAGAGTTTCAAATTATATAAAGCAGAAATTAACACAATTCGGAGAAATAGAAAAAGTCATCATCACTGAGGTTTTTTGTTTTTTTTTTTTGAGACTAAGTCTTGCTCTTGTGCCCCAGGTTGGAGTGCAATGGCATAATCTCGGCTCACTGCAACTGCTGTCTCCTGGGTTCAAGAGATTCTCCTGCTTCAGCCTCCCAAGTAGCTGGGATTACAGGCGCCAGCCACCATGCCCGACTAATTTTTGTATTTTTGGTGGAGACAGGGTTTCACCATAGTGGCCAGGCTGGTCTCGAACTCCTGACCTCAGGTGATCCACCAGCCTCAGCCTCCCAAAGTGCTGGGATTACAGGCATGAGCCACTGCATCCAGCCCAGTGTGAGGTTTTAATATACCTCTCTCATTGTCATTAAGCTGAAACAAATATAAAAGATTTGAATGATATAAAAAAAAAAAAACGATGTAAAGGATATATGACAAACAATATACTTAAACAAATGGAGAATACACATTCTTTTCAGGCATACTTTAGCCATTTACAGCAATTGATCATAAAGTAAGTCTCCACAGATTTTAAGAAATTCATATTATTCAAATCATGTTTTCTGTTCATGATGCAATTAGATTTGAAATGAACAACAAAGCAGATAACTAAAAACAGCAACAAAATATGTTTGTAAATGTAAATATGTATATTGTATAAATATACAAATATATACATGTATATACACACATACAAACAACTCATGTGTTTAAAAAATTCGAATGCACATTTAAAAACACTGAAATCTGAATTACACACATTTAAAACACATTTGAATGCGCATTTAAAAACACTGAAATCTGAATTACAATCAAAATACTATATAGCAAAGTTTGTGGGATGAATTTGTCCATTAAATGACATGTACAAGAATTTATAACCAGCTTTATTCATGATAGACAAATAATCCTGGAAAGAACCAAATATCCACTAACATTAGAATGGATAAAATATGGTATATTGTGGTATACCAATACCAGTAAAAAAGAATGAATCTCTTACACACACAATAAGGATAAATATGACAAACATTGTTTGGGGCTAAAAAGACAGATACAAAAGACTATATACTATATTATCATATATGAGGAGACTCTGTCTATATATAAACAGCTGAATGTACCCGGATCGAAGTATATATGAAGCAGACTCTGTCTATATATAAACACCTGAATGTACCCAGATCAAGGTATGAAACATTTCAAGCACCCAGAAATCTCCTCCATATCCAAACCCAGTCAATAACATTCTACTCTGAGAGAACCCTTATAGTGACTTCTATCACCATAGATTAGTTCTTGCTTTTTCTTTACTTTTTAATATTATCATACAGTATATAGTCTCTTGTATCTGTCTTTTTAGCCCCAAACAATATTTGTGATATTTATCCTTATTGTGTGTGTAAAAGAATCATCTTTTTTACTGGTATCAGTATACTATACTTTATCCATTATCTTAGTGGACATTTGGTTCTTTCCAGAATTATTTTTCTATCATGAATAAAGCTTGTGTGTGTGTGTGTGTGTGTGTGTGTGTGTGTGTGTGTGCGCGTATACATATATTCTTTTTGTGTGTGTGTATATATATAGTGTGTATGTGTGTGTATATATATAAATATATATATATTGTTTGAACTGTTTGCTTAAGATCAGTGCATTTTATTCACTTTACCACGTGTTTTTATCCTTAATACAATGGAAAAAATATGGTTGGCTGTAACTAATGAAGTTCTTAAAGGGAAACATGTATCCTCAAAAACATATATTTAGAAAAGACAAAAGCTAAAATTTAATGAGCTAAGCATATTATATAAGAAGATAGAAACATCAGGGATGAGAGAAGCAAAGAAGTATAAATGAAAACCTTTAAAAAATAAAAGCAAAAATTAATGAACTAGAAAAAGAAAAGAAAATGTAGTAGAAGAAATCAACAATTCCAAAATAAAAGTGGTTTTTTGAAAAGACTGATAAAAATCAAGAAAGCTGCAATAAGCTCAAACAAGGAAAGATGGGACACATTAATATTAGGAATGAAGAATAGAATATAACTACAAATAGAGCAGAGATTTAAAAGGCAATAGTATTGATAATAATACGTAACATTTATTGAATGTTTGATAAGCCTTAGGCTTGTTCTAAGTCCTTTATATATTTATCACTTCATTTAATCCTCATGACATAAAATACCCTGAGGTGCGCATTTTATTATGTCCACCTTTTTTTACAGATTCATGCCAATACTTTTAAAAATTAATGAAAACTTGGCAAATTCCTAGAAAAACATAATTTAGCAAAACTCTCAACAGGAAATTTAAAAGTCTAAAAAGTTATATAATGAAGTTGAATAGTTAAAATTCTAATATATAATCAAAAAACAACTCATTCCTTTTTTAAATAATCTGTTCCATATAATAGAAAAATGAAAAACTTCCCAATATATTTTATTAAATACTATGACACCAAAACAAACAAACAAGATAAGAAAGAAAAACTAAAGTCTAGTTTCATTCATACAGATGCAAAGACTCTAAACAAAATATAATCAAATTGAATCTACCGGTATATTAAAGAATAATGGAACATAACCTAAACTGAATTTATACCATGAAAGAAGGGCTAAAATTTGCAAATCTATTAATGTAATACACCATATTAACAGATTAAAGGTGAAAAAACCATGTAATAATTTAAATAGATGCAGGAGAAGCGTATGATATATATCACTAATCCTACTGAAACCACTGAGAGATAGATATTATCCTCATTTCACTAATAGGTAAATCAATAATAACTAATAATAAAAATAGCTAAATTTATAAAGTACATGTTTTATACTAAGTACTATGCTAAGTAATTTGCAATAATTATTTTATACTTAATTACAGTCTTAAAAGCTCTGCACTATTATGATTCTTATTTCACAGCCTGATTATTTTTGTACTCAATTTTCACAAATTTGAGTCTGAAGCAATATTATTCTGCAGCTTCCCTGCCCAATAAAGGAAGATAACTTGAACCACTTAATTAAAATAGTGTGTTTTAGTTATATCTAATACAGAACAACCAACACCACAATTTTTTTCATTAGCTATAGGTCCAAGTTAAAATTGTTTCTAATTATGAAGAAAAGTTGGACATGCGTATTTCTAATGTGTGTGTATACTATCTTACATTTAAAAGATGATGGATTTTGGCTATTGTTATACGTTAAGCATTTTGGCACACTCCATTGTTGATTTGCTTTTACAAAACAAAAAAGGAGATGCTTTGAATTATACACAGATATTTGTATAAATTTCATCCCCCTACACCTGTATCCTATTATAATTGCTCAATCCCTAAAGCGAATGCTTTCAAATGCATAATGTGAATATATTTTTATAGATTATTGCTTCAGTAATTATACACTAATATGAATTACAAAAAATCAGTTATAAAATGTACATCCAGAAAGCTCAGGAAATATTTTATCTCAAGGAATTTAGCATTTAGCAAGGTTTGAAATGTAAAACTTTATTTTAAAGCAAAACCATAAGGATGACTCATATACAGCCAAGAATATTTGAATTCTTGGTTCAAAAATTTATATGAACCAAGAAACAATGATTCCACCATATCTTTAGAAATATAACTTAAATAGATATTTTCATATCTGATAGCATTCCCAAGTTATACAGAAACCCTGATATAAAAAACCTCTTTTAAGTGTTTTAGAGCTCACATATTTTTCTTATAAAAGCAAAGCTGAACCCTTTCTGAAATTGTTTCCTTTTTGTGTGCACATGTACATGTGTGTGCGCATGCACATATATTCTTTTAAGTGGTGACTAATCTTAATGCATCTAGTCTACCTTCTGTGTCTGGTGAATGCTTTTATGCTTTTCTTGCTCCTGGGATGTTACCCAGCTTTCAAAATCTTACTCAGGTGGTGTGAAGAATAAAAAAAAAAATGTTATATATGCCCTTTCATGGCTGCCCTCGTAATGTGCAACACAGAACATCACTTAGGATTTAAAGGCCCATAAAATAGAAAGCTTGCTTAACCCCTTGACTGCTCCATGCATGCAAGTTGCAGCACCCTGTGATATTGGAATTTTATGAGTGTTGAAAGCTGAGGTGTTTTAAGCCTCAGCAGCATATATTCGTTCTGTTATGGTAACCCAGGTCAAAAGCAGCACAGGATTTTTTAGCTCTCTCTATTTTCTTTGTCTTTGAAACTGTTCCTAGACATCCTAATTCTGCACAGCAAAATGCCTGCAAGCATATAATAATTCAGTTAATTAGTAACAAGAAATGAAGAGTATATATTTTCTTTCACTGAATAAAATAAAAATGAATGTATTTCCAAAGAAGTCAGGAACAGCAAAAATAGTGGCATGTTTCCTCTTTAAAATGGCATAAGCAGACTATAACAAGTTAGGAACTTAAAAAAGGAACAGAAAACAATACTATTGTATGCCTAGTATTGTCTAATTTTAGAAAGGTATAATCTGCTAGAAGAGAACCCAGTTATGGACATACCAGGAAAGTCAGCACTTTAGGGCAATGTGGGACGTTCTAAGAGAAACGAGGAAGCTAAAATTGGCTGAACGTGTAGACCGGAATCCTAAGGGAGGATGAATCCGGGAATATGAGCCACTCCTGTGGCTGGGGCTCCAGGGGCTGCCTTTTGGAATACTTTGGCCTCTCTCCCTGACCTTACAATTTGATAACACAAGGGCTTATGTGACCTGAAATCATTGTATTATTATTTCATATGGTTATTTCAATTTAAAAAATCGTTGCTTCTACTCTGCACAAACCACTAAGAGAATAAGGGACAGTGATCACCCCAAGAAATTTTTATATTCTTATAGGAGGAATATGAAAACTATCAAAGCAATTATAAGGCAACATTCAAACATGAAATAGAAATAGTTATAGCTGCATTTGGATAATTCTCATTTATGGTTAATGAAACACTCTAACATGTATCATTTTGTTGTGCTTCACAACATTCCTGAACAGTAGACACAGCAGCAGGGAAAACTGAAACTCACAGAGGTTGAGGGACCTATCTAAGGTCACATAGCTTGTAAGCTGCAGAGCTGGAACTAAACACCATTCTTCTTATTTCAAGTCCAGTTTTCGTTCTGTTACAGACTTAGTACATATTTGGCACTCCAATTTCCACTAAGCAAAGCCATGCCAGGTAAAGGGAAGAAAGAAAGGGAGAGAGAGAGAGAAGAGGAGGTGGGAGAGGGAGAGAGGGAGAGAGCATGCAGGTGGAGAAAGGAAGACCAGTGGGAAGGGAAAGATGCAACAGGAAATCTGACTACTGGGCAGGAAATGTGTTTCTCCCCATTATGCCCCACCCACCAATGTTTCTAGGGCCCCTTCAGTTCTATAGCCTTTCTCATTCTGTTTAATGTTTATTTCCTCCTTCAACAATTCTCCCTCATGGCTGAGATTTCATAGCTTTGAAATGAAACATTCTTTGTCTGAAGTTGTTTGCCTTGGATGATCCTTTCATCTTATCTCACTTTTCCTTTCCACACATTGAATTCTTTTTCTCCTCCTGAGTTTTATGTCCTGCTTTTAAATTAAGTTACTGAGGGAGTTGTGTAAATTCTTTTAGGCTTTAAGAATCCATATCCTTGTTTTGAAATTCTAGAGACTCATCTAACTGTCAATGTTTCACAATCTCATTTCAATATTGAAAAAAAAATCAATTGTTAAAGAGTTACAATGCCCATAGCCTGTTTATAAGATCAGAAGATTTAGTCACATAAATTGATGGTTATAAAAACTGAGTAATTTACTTGTATAAGCCTTTTATTTAATAAATCCGTGACTAAAAGTAGAAACTATGTAATACAATATTAATGCTTGCAACTTTTAAAGATAATAATAAATAAAACACTAAAACGTCATTTTAATTCTTAAACATGTTAATGAAGGGAATATACATGCCCCAGTTTTTATGAAATAGATAACATGCTGTGAAGATGGGAATCCATCTTACAGAAAGTGAATTAAATTCTAGATGATAAGTTCTCTTTTTGGAAAGTTTTGTGTTGGTTTAAGTGTTGTTTTAATTATAGACTACCACATAGTTAATGGAAGAGGTGGCGTCTGAATGATGACTTTGAGTTAGATATGTTTTGTCCTGATCTCAAGTTTAAGGGCCATCTTTATGGGTGATGCGTCACTATTTAGAAGGCATTTTCAGCTTCTTTATCTTGAAGAACAGAACTGAAGGGAAATGTCTTCAGTTTCTGAATCACCTTTTAATAGGAAGTATAGCTAACTTCTGATTGGAATCAATATCTCAACCAGAAAGTTTGAGAAGAGTTTAATTAGCCTCCATGGTTCCACTTCATGATTTCATAGAGCAGTTTTTTGAAAGTCACGTCAGTGACTATCAGTTTACTGCCTCCGTCAGCATTTTGTGAATTCCGGATTACCATTCAGCAGCGCCACGTCCTATGTGTGCAGCACTCAGGACTACTGAGCAGACAGTGCTGCCAGAATAGCAGTGCAGACTCTGGTGGACAGACACATTCACACAGGATATAGATAATATAAAATTGAAAGCCTCTAATTATGGTGTGATCTTGAGGATTGCATTGTTTCAGCTAAAACTTACTTTCTTTTGCAAATAGTGGGTCAACACGCAGGCTCTAACTTTGACAGCTGAGATAGAATATGTGGGGACAGAGCTTTCTTCATTTGTTCTCATGAACTAAAAACCAGTAGAATTTTCCCCTGTATTTTCCTGTTATTCTTGTTCAGCTAATATGCATGCCAAGCCACTGTTGGAACACAAAGGAACATTGTTCCACTAGATTGAAAATTGAACTAAAAATTTATTTGAAATGATAATTTGTTTTCCTCATATCCAAGATGTGGGAAGCTTTACGACTAGATTTGCATTTTTTAGGGTTTTTTTGTTTTGTTTTGCTTTCAGGCAGTATGTCTGAATCCAGCACAAAATCTAAGGCAAGTCTGAACATTGACGTTTCTAGACCAAGAATAGGTGTGTTCCTATTACTTGAAATACATTACTTGAAAACTCATCAATCAATGCTAAGGGGAAAAAAGGGATGATTTAGAAATTAAGTTTCCTAACATGATTATATAAATTTGCCTAATAGTAAAATCCTACAAATCAGGATACATTATATCAACATAAGAGAAAGTTAAGTTCTAATTATTATTGTTAATTTGTTGGCAAATAAAAAGAAACCAGTCACTATATCTGAAAATTCTGCCAATGTAACTAATATGCTAGACCTTTTGACAATATATCAAAAACAAACAAAAAGGAAGCAGTTAAAGCATCTGAGGGTTCATCAGGCATGTTTAAAAAAATCTGAATAAATGGCTGTTCTTTGAATTGTATGAAATGTTTGACACCCTGTATTTGAAACCTTTGTTTCAAGCTTACTGTATTTGCTGTGTGCTCCTCTTCTAGTTGTATGGGTTATTTACTGGATGGATGACTCACAGAAGAAAATATACATGTTGTTTTACCTTCTAGTGTTTGGCTTGATTACTAATCTTCCCGTGCTGAGGCAGTGTTACAAATGTGAGAAATTTAAGTGCATCAGTTCCACATGTAGGCTTGCTGAGCAGAGTGATACAGAACAAAGATCACCAGATGGGTCACAGGGCCGCATTCTAAGGAACTGTATTAGGCTGAATCACAATGTTATTTTGCTCTTAGGCTGTTAATAGTCAGCTACTGTTTCAGTAATTTTAAAAAAGCATGAAAAAGAAAGAAAGCAGTTAATTAAAATATCAATATCATACTCTTATGAATTTGTTATATATAACATAGAAGAACACATTAGACATATCAGACTCAACATCCAGGTATTTTGACAATACTGTTTGGAATGCTCGCTGAAGAATGGGGTGTTGATGGGTACAAATACACAGTTTGATAGAAGAAATAAGACCTAGTGTTTGAAAGAGAGTAGGGGGACCATAGTTTACAATAATCTATTGTGTATTTCAAAACAGCTAGAAGAGAGGAGACAGATACTTAAGATGATGATATCCCAATTACACTGATTTGATTTTTACAAATTATGTGATTGTATTAAATTATCACATGACCCTGAAATTATGTGCATCTATTATGTATCAATAAAACTGATTAAAAACAAAGTTTAATTTAAAAAATAAAAATAAGTCCTTCACAAAAATAAAAGAATGGAGTATTGTCTTAATGATTTATTTTTTTACTTGATTTATCCAGTATTTTCATTGGCCTGTCAAGACTCCCAAATTAAAACTGTCCAGAGAGAACAGTATGACTATTGCCTCTACAGTTTAAAATCTTGAGTTGTCACATATCAAGAGTATGGGCAGTCCCTGCTGTTCTATATGGCTCGTTTTCCCCTTCTGCTCACTCAAAGTGTCTAATTAGCAGCCACACTTATTTCTCATTGCCTTTAGCTCCTCAATCAAGGATTTCTGGTGAAGGAACCCTGCTGTGGGTGCTAGAATTTTTTTAAAAAAGAAACAAAACATGAAACTCATCTTCATGTAATCAGCCTATAAACACCACCCCTTCATCACCAAGGGAAAAGAGAATGATTTTCCATTTCCTATTCCAAAAACACTACTAAGACTATTTTTAGTTTACTTTATCTTTTTATGTCTGATCTTGGTAATTCTTTTGTCAAGATGGACATAAGGAGAGAATAGAAGAAAGAAAAAAAATTGAAAATTCTTAGAATCAAGTGAATTGCTTATGAAACCTGGAAACACAGGCAAATGTCCATCTTGTTGTGAAGAACACCTTCAGTCTATAAATACATAAAATATGACCCAAATAACGCAAAGACTTAAAACTTTGAATGAGGCAAGCAAAACTATATCTGTTAGGTATTTAATGGGTTATTTAAGCTAGAAAATTTTAAAAATATGTCAAAGGAATTCATTCATTCAACAATAGTTAGTAGTGTCCAGTGTCCCAGGCATTTTCTTAGGTACTGGGGATAAGAGTGAGCAGAACGTGATCGCTGCATCTAGGAGTTTAGAGCACAGAGATAAGAAACAGGTAATTTAAAATGCAGTGTGTAAACCACAAGGCATTTTAGGAGATCTAGGAGAGACACAAATGTTAAGAGCATAGAAATGTCCTAGTAGAATTGACATCCAACCTGTGTCCAAAATGATGAATAAAGCTTAGTAAGGCAAAATAAAATACATATATATACTTCTAGAATGGCAGAATGGCGAGTAAAAACCTCTGAAAATTCATTCTTCCATTAAAGCAAAACAACACTTGCAAAAATGGTCGACTTTTTCAGAATGCTGAAAATTAACCAGCACCTTGCAACAATGTTAAGAGCATTATTCCAGAAAAACAACTGAATCTCAGTAAGAACAGCAAGTGCTGTGGTGTTTTAATTTGGTTTATTTCCAAATTATGAAAACCAGCAGCCCAACAGCCCCTGGATAGGGCAGAATGGGGTTGAAGCTCTCCAAAAGCCTCATCCCCAGAGAACTGTCTCTATTTGACCTGTCTGCTACCTCCCTGAAAAGCCTTATTCTTAGCGTTTATCTTTTTTTTTGACCTGACTCAGAGCTCACTCTGTGCAAGCATTTGTAGAAAACAATTAGCAGTGGCCAGGCGCGGTGGCTCACACCTGTAATCCCAGCACTTTGGAAGGCCGAGGCAGGCAGATCACGAGGTCAGGAACTCGAGACCATCCTGGCTAACATGGTGAAACCCCGTCTCTACTAAAAAATACAAAAAATTAGCTGGGCGTGGTAACGGGCGCCTGTAGTCCCAGCTACTCAGGAGGCTGAGGCAGGAGAATGGTGTGAACCCAGGAGGCGGAGCTTGCAGTGAGCAGAGATCGCGCCACTGCACTCCAGCCTGGGCAACAGAGACTCCGTCTCACCAAAAAAAAAAAAAAAAAAAAAAAAAAAACCATTAGCAGTAACTGTTTAATAGTACAGGTGCCTGAGGCAGTAATTCCAGTTGGAACTAACAAGAAGGTGACCAAAACATATAAAGTAAAAAAGTGGGAAATGAAACGTCCACAGAGTGCTTTTAAAGGCCCCATATCTGGAAATTTAGAGGGCTGGCCAGGCGCATGTGGAAGACTGTTTACGTACTCAGGAAAGATCTGAGAAGGTCCTTATCTCTCATCTCTGACTGACCATGAGGGCTGTGCAAGCAGGAAGTGAAAGCTAAGGCGGACCTGTGAGTTGCCTGTGAAAGCATTGAAGGCATGCCCCAACACACACACACACACACACACACACACACACACACACACACACGGAGAAAGAGAGAGAGAGAGAGAGAGGAGAACTCCTCTGCAAAGCCTGGGAGACTTATTGATTGCATTCATTAGCTGACCAGTAAGCTAACTGAACACACCAAGCATCAGTGGATGCAAGTGATAAAGAATACAGATTCAGTCCAGGAAATTCATGAAACAAAAAACAGTCACTAAACAAACACACAAACAAAAAACTCACAGAATGTGGTGCGGAGGTGGGGAAATTGGATTTCCACACTTGCTTTATTACTTAAAATGTTCAGTTTTCAACAAAAATTTATGAGATATGCAAAAACAATGGGAAAGGATGATACATATAAACAAAAAAAAAGAGAAGTTAATAAAAAAGGTACCTGAGGAAGTTCAGATTTTGGACTTACTAAACAAAGTCTAAAACAGCTATAAAAATATGGCTAAATTTTTTTTAATTCATGTGCTAAGAACAATGGAAAGAAGGTGTGAGAATTCTATCTTACCAAATATAGAATATCATTAAAGAAATACAAATTAGGCTGCGTGCAGTGTCTCATGCCTGTAATCCCAGCACTTTGGTAGGCTGAGGCAGGTGGATCACGAGGTCAGGAGTTTGAGACCAGCCTGGCCAACATAGTGAAACCCCGTCTCTACTAAAAATATAAAAACTAGCCAGGTGTGGTAGCATGCGCCTGTAGTTCTAGCTACCCGGGAGGCTGAGGTGGGAGAATCACTTGAACCCGGGAGGCAGAGGTTGCAGTGAGCTGAGATCACGCCATTGCACTCAAGCCTGGGTGACAGAGACTCCATCTCAAAAAAAAAAAAGGAAAAGGAAGAAAAAGAAAGAAATACAAATTATAAAAAATAACTAAATAGAAATTCTGGAATTGAAAATTATAATAATTACTGAAAACGTTCACTAGGGAAACTTAATAGCAGATATAAAATACCAGACTATTAGACTGTCAACCAAGAATTCTATGCCCAGCAAAGCTAAAATTAAGAAGGAAATACATTCCCAGATAGGGAAAAACTGAATTAGTTACTAGCTGGCCTGCACTTTAAGAAACATTAAACAGAATCTTTCAGCCTGAAATTAAAGAACATTAGACAGTAACTAGAATACATACAAAGAAATAAAAATAGGTAAATGTACATTTACATAGGTAACTGTAAAGTCAGTAAAAAATGCATTTTCATTTCTAATTCTTCTACCTCAACTAAAACTGTATAAAACAATAAGAACACTGTGGTGATGGATACAAATGTATAAAGATGTAATTTGTATGATAATAAGAGCACAACAGAGGAAAAAGGGAATGGAGCTATATAGCAAAACAGTTTCTATATACTATTAAAACAAAGCTCATGTTACTCCAAAATAGATTGCTTTAAATTAAGAGGTTAATTTTGAACCCCAGGGTGACAACTAAGAAAGTAATTAAAGATAATATAGTAAGAGAAACAAAAATAAAATAAAATGGAACACAAGAAAATATCTATGTAACACAAAGAAGGTAGTAACAGAGGAATATCTGTATGCATGTTATACAACCATAATGCAATGAAATAACAAATGGAAATTTGGGAATATACAAATATGAGGAAATTAACCAGCACACATATCTCTAAGGGGAGAATCAAGAACACAGAGGGTGGAGCTGTGATCCCAGAGTTCAGAGTTATGATTTTAGAGAGCAGAGGCATGAACCACAGAAGATTATTCTCAAGCCTTGAAACCTCATGCAGTGTTCCCAGGTACATTGCTAAATTGTTTGAGACTGATAACTCCTTTTTTCCTTCCATTTTTCTTTCATTTCACCTAGATGTCTATAACAGCTATCCTATACCTGTCCCATCATTGTATTTTGGGAGCTGATAATTTTTCACAGGTTCATATTGAAAGAAATTGTGCCTCAGAATGAAATGTACCCAGAACCTCACCTGGACTGAACTTAGAATATTTAGATAATGAGATTTGCAACTTCTGAGTTGATGATTTGTAGATGAGATTTTGGACTTAAGTTGATGCTATAATGGGTTGAGACTTCTAGAGACCTTTAGGTGAAGTGAATGTATTTTGCATGTTGTATGAATATTAATCTTTGGGGGCCAAAGGGAGGGACTGTGGTTGGCAAAATAATGACACCTGAAAGTTATCCATGCCCTAATCCTCCCAACTTGTAAATGTTATCTTACAAGGCAAAAGGGACTTTGCAGATGTAATTAAGGATATAGTGTGTGCCATATTTGCATTTCCTCCTAAACTGCATTTCTATGGGGCTTAGAGAATAATTTTGCTAATAATTGCTAATAAATTGAAGTCCCTAAATTTTTCATATTGGTTTTTATTTTTTAACAAATTTTTATAATTTATTTGGGGTTGAATTCTTGATCAAAAGCAAAGCTAAAAAACTTTTTTGTTTTAGGAGAGACAGAGGGTTATCCTTTTGGTAAATACAATATTCTATATGTTGACTCAATCATGAAAGAAACGTAGCTGAAAATTTAAGAGTTGTCAGTATTGTTACTTGTAAGTTTAAAAGTCTGTTTTAAGAACTTTTTAGAAGTTTAAAATATGTATATATCTTTGTATACACACATATATATTAATCTATATACACATATACATATATTAATATATGTACACACATATAAATGTACATGTTTATATATACACACATATATACACCTCTATACAGACAAATATATATAAAAGTGTGTATGTGTGTGTGTGCTTATATTTACCTATATATGTGTATATATATAATTATATGTGTATACATATACATGGTCATGATGAAGAATATATACATGGTCTATACCATGTTATATATGTACACATAATAATATATATACAGGTAAATATATATATACACCCACATATGTGGGTGTATATATAGAAGTACATAAACAGATATCTATTATTAGATCACCAGGTCTCAGAAAGAGAATTCTGGGTAGTGTGAATAGGATGTACATTGTTTACCTACGGAGCCAAGAGGAAGAACTCTCAATTATAAATGAGAATGTGTGCCTCCACAATTGCTCTTCCTGAAGGCACATTATCAAAAACTTCGAAGAGTCTGGGATTGTATCCTATTTTCAAGCTAACAATTACCCTGCCACAGTTGCATGGGTGCTGAAAGAAGCTGAAAAACCCCTGGATCATGGAACTTTATTACTCACAGCAAAAGTAGTAGCCAGAATGTCAGCCTCTGCACCAGTCCCCCAAGCCTTAATTCCCCTTTGCTATGTGGCAATTAATTTTAGGTGTCAATTGGATTAAGGAATACCTAGAGAAATGGTAAGGTATTACTTCTGGGTGTGTCCGTGAGGGTGTGTTTCAGAGGAGATTGGGCTGTGAGTCAGTGGACTGAGTGGGGAAGATCTGGCAGGCACCATCCAATCAGTTGGAGGCCCAGATAGAACAAAAAAAGGACAGAAAAGAATTTACTCTTTCTCTCTTCTGGAGCTAGGACACTCTCTTCTTTCTGCCTTTGGACATGAGAACTCTAGGCTTTCTGTCCTTGGGACTCCAGGGCACACACCAGTGACCCCCTGGTTTTTCAGGCCTTAGGCCTCAGACTGAGAATTACACCATCAGCTTCCCTGGTTTTGAGGCTTCCAGACTTGAACTGAGTCAAACTACCAGCATCCCAGAGTGTCCAGCCTGCAGATGGCCAATTGTACTTCTCAGCATCCATAATTGCATGAGCCAATTCCCCTAATAAATCGTGTGTGTCTGTGTGTGTGCGTGTGAGTGTGTGTGTGTGTGTGTGTGTGTGCACGCACAGTGGGGTACTATTGGTTTTGTCTCTCTGGAGAAACTGAATAACCCGGGGTGAAGTGGAGAGGTCCAACTGATGCCTGCACACTGTAGGTTGCATTACAGAAGAAGCACCCAGAGATTAGGTAACACAAATCTTTTAAAACAGACAAGCATGCACACCTTTTATTTCAAGGTAAATATTCTCTCTACCATCCAAGGTTATAAACAAACCTCCCTGGATCTGAATGGAGACACTATTCTCTATTTTCTGAGACTGTTTTCTATATAAACATCCTTGAAAAGATAGTTCAAAACCAAAGCAGTCAGGGCCTCTGCTCTCATGACGTAGGAGATATGAGAGGCCCATGGAGAATTGTTTCCCAATTCACAGTGAGTGAAACTTTGTCTCTGAATTTACGTTTATTGTTTTCATCCTAATATTTTGGTATATACCTTTCTATGAAATTAATCATTGTATGGTTTGGTAAAACATGTCATTACTTATAAAATCGTTTAATACCAGCAAATTCTGGATGGCTTCTTCTGAGTCCTTCTTTAAATAAGTCAGAGTCCTGCTTTAAATAAATCATCATAGGTCAGAATGTTGTCAAGCATGAAGCAGCAATGTTGGGGAGTTTTGGTGACTAGAGGTGACTCCTCCAGGGTTTCCTATAAATGTTGACTCATATGGAGATAATCAGATAAGGGTTAGCTCTTGTATTGCTGTATTCCCTCAATTAGAACTTCAAGAGACCCCCTCAGCTATATATCTCAGTGATGGTCATATAACAGTGTTAAGTTGCTGTTATAAATGTACTTAAATACTATATAGTTTCCTCCTTTGGAAAATATTTTCCCTAGAAATCTGGCCAGTCAGAAACTAATATTCCCAGACCTATTAGCTTCCTGTGGCTGCTATAACAAATTACCTGTGGTAGTGTAAAACAACAGAAATTTATTATCCCATTGTTCTAGAGGAGAGACATTTCAAATTAGCTTCACTAAGCCAAAATCAAGGTGTTCCCAGGGCCACGTTCTCTCTGGAGGCTCTAGGGGAAAATCAGTTCCAGTCTCTTCCAGGTTTCAGGTAGCTGCCAGCATCCCTTGGATTGTGGCCACATCTCCAGGAAAGGTCTTTCATCAGTAGGGCATAAAAGGGGCTTCAGTTTCTTGTTCTATACATGCTAACTGGTTGTCAAGTTTGAATTAGAGAATTACATAACATGTACCGTGACAATGGAATTGTCAACAAAATACACACGTGATGATATCCAGGAATGGGTTCCAACAATTATTAAGTAAATAGAGGATATGTAAGTCTTTCCATGTACAGTATCTTTTAACTGAATATAATAATCTTAATGACAACAACCCAACATAAAACCCTAGTAAACAAAGAGCTCCACAAAATATATCAGCAAGACATTTTGATGATATAGACTGCATATCAACATCAATAGGAACAGCTGTGCAGTACTCTCAAAACTTCATGACTATAAAATCACTCAGACAGCAGAGTTTGTTAAAACATAGATTCCTAGGCTTCCCAACAGAAATTCTGGTCCAGCAGGTTAGGGGCAGCATCCATGAATCCATATTTTTAAAGGTCACCCTCCAGTTATTCTGATGCAGGCAATCTCACCGTAAGTTGAAAATGAATGATAAAGTGTGGACCAATCCTAAGTCCTAAGTGAGATTTCCCACACACTGGAGATGATCATCCAGGTTCTAAGTACTCAAGCTATCATAATGCCAAGATTGCTTGGGCAACAGCAACCTACAAATCAAGCTCTTTCTTGCAGTGCTATAAGACCTTGGCCACAGCTCTACTGCATTTCATAGATAGTAGAAGCACAGGCAAAACATCAAGACTTCCTCTTGTATTCATCGATCCTTCAGTATCATTTTATATTTTCAGTAGTCTGGGCTCTTGAAGGTATTAAGCAAGGTTAGAAGAGAGAAATTCAATAAAGCTGCTCTCTGATGGTAAGGCTGGTTAGGTCAGAGTTTTATGCAGCTCTACTTAAGGAAACAGCAAGAAATCTGATAGCTGGTGAGAAAGCTCTCTTGCACTCTAGGAAAATTCCAACTTCATAGGCTATGAGCATCACTAAAAGCCACTAAGTTAACGATAAGGGCCAGCCACAAGTAAAACTGTGAAGTGTCAGGGTGTGGGCGGCAGGGGGGTGGCAGGGGTCAGCATTTCCTTCTCCAGATCTATGTGAACCCTGCCCTGTCCTCTTCGGGAGCCAGGAATGAGCAGCACAGCATTGGGATGGCTTCAAAATCTTTCAAATGAGACTACAGGCAGAAGGTCTTGCCATTCCACTGCTCTGCTGCACCAGTAAACAGGGCTCTACCTTGCTGAAAATCCTTCAGCTTTATTTCCATAATAATAAAGTCTAAACTCCTTGGCCTGGCAGACAAGACCCCATAATATCTGGTTCCTATTAACATTACCAATTTGTTGGTAATCAATTTTTTCTCCTACTACAACTTCGCATTGCCCACCCCCAGCCCTCCATCTGCAGCCCACAGACACAATCCTCCTGGCATCATATTGAGCCTTTGGATATCTAGCTAACATCAACTTCTCCTGCAAACCCATCTCCCCTTATCCTTCTGCAGGTTGAGTAGACTATGCCTTAAACATCTCCAGGAAGTGTCATTTACCTACCCTGCGGTGTGAATAGTGCCCCTGGAGGTGGATACAGTGGCCCTGCCTCCCTCTGGCACTCTGATGTAGAGCTCTCTCCATGAGGATTTCCATCTCCCCCAAGGAGCTGAGTTTTCTCCTTACACCTATGACACTGTTATTTTAGTCTTCATTTTATGGGTCTGCCTTCCTCTCTCAACTGTGAGCCTCTTGAACACAAGTCCTATACATGGTTCTATGATACAGTAAGTATTCTGTAAACTTTTGATGAATGGATGGATGAATGAATGAGTGAATCAATCAATCAATGAATCAATCACAAGGCTTTTAAAGAGACACTTTCATATGTTGAGACCTGAGCCCTCAAGACACTTGGAATGAGTCAAAAAAATAGTACTGATAACACGTCTGACGAAGACTTCTATCGTCACGTAAATCCATGCCCCAGGAAAACTTTATACTGAGCCAACTATCTTCATTGGCAAGGAGAAAGGGAAAGCTGTCACTGGACTCCATTCTTGCCAATAATTAACAGAGCTGACTTTCCAGCAATTGGCAAGGTTGAGAACTAGATGAACAAGCCCACTGTGTCCTTCAGGGATCTGGCAAAGAATGTGACCAAAACCATCAGGCTCAAGACGAGCCCCAGTCTGGCAATGATGTCCTCCTTCACTGTGGCATTGAAACAGATTTGTCAAGCATGACATGTTTGACTTCACCACCAGTGTCTTTAAGCTGCTTAACAGGAAGCCCCAGGCAAGGTCACAAGCCCTTTGTCCTTAGACGTGCACCATCTAGCAGATTTGGAACTGAGTTTTTGTTGAGCACCTGATTGGATGGATGTCAAAACCACTGACAGCAAACCTAAGAGCTGCGGTATGGTTAGTGCCCACCACAATATCAGCAATTTGCTAAAGGCAGGCTGAGAACATCCCCTGCAAGAATTCCCTGATGACAGGATACCTAGAAAAAGACCCTCTTTCTGAACAAAGGCCCGTGGGTTGTTCTGTACAACTCTTCATCCTCCACTCATTCTTTGAAAAGGTGGTGACCTAGACACACGCTCTTCACCTCCCAGAACCTGTTACTGATAAATATTAGGAAATAATTTAATTCAAAAAAAATCTCCATTTTTTAGACCCTATCTTTCTTCCATTTGACTTTAAAACATGCAAGAATATGCTCTGAAGTATTATATGTAAAAATAGAAGGCTTGAAAACAGCATAGAAATTCACAGTTCAAAGCAGAAGGAGCTAATTAATAAGCTGCCTTCCTTTCTCCTTTTCTGCATTTTCTTCCCACTGAGCAGCTCTAAATACTTGATGTTGAGTTGGGTTTTTATTTTTATTTTTTTAAAAATAATCGCCTATGCATCACGCAGACCTCTCCCTGAGATATATTGGCCTGGTACATAAACAGCTGGTGTGCTCCAGGGGCAGTGTATATTTTATTCTGGATGGAACCCATGATAAGAAACTGAATTTAGAAAGCATTTTGTAGGAAACTAAAGTCAGCCACTGAATAAAATACAAAGCAAGGGCTTTAAAATGTGTTCTTATTCATTAGAATTTAATGCATCAAAAGTTATTTTATGTCTAAAGTGAGAAGGACAAGAGTAAAAGAATAGGCTGCGCAAACCTAAATCCCCTAAAGACATTTATATTTTTCTTTCAGAATAAAGTAAATTCCAAGAGATAAATAATTTCCCATGAAGTAAATGTGCTGCGTTTTCAAAGAATAAACACAACATGTTCCCTTCTTGCTCTATCCAACCCAGAGCAGTGTGTGTTTACCCTCCTCTTGGAAACAGAGTCCTGCAAAGTTTCACGTTGTGGAGGAAAATTGAACTTTAACTGATTGAAATCGCTGCTTTATTATAGCCATCACCCTGTGGTTCCCTAACAAAGAATACACAACCACACAAATATCTAAGGACTTGCTACCCTTCCCTGCCATTAACTCCAGAGATCACGGTGCTTTCTGCACTGCCCAGCATCCTGAGTCCAGGCTGATTTAATTCATGAAGTTTAACAGGAGGTTAATCAATAGAGGATAATCCATTATAAAAATATCTGCAGGCTTTTGACTGTGAGGGAAATGTGAGAAAAGAGGATGCTTTTGACAAAGAAATCTAGCACGTGGCTACTCAAACTGAGGCTTGCGGCAGCAGCAGCGGCAGCAGCTTTACCTAGGAGTTTGTTAGAAATGCAGAATCCAGGGCTGCATCTCTTTTTCAGCGCTACAGAATCAGAATCTGCATTTCACAGGGTCCCCAGGGATGCATATACACATTAAACTTGAGAAGCAGTGATCTAGAGAGTGTCTTCTCTAAAGGAGCTCACAGACTCATTAAGATGGCAAGGTCAAAGCAGGAGGCGAGGCCCCAGGTGATCCAAAAGGGTAGCAAGGACTTTAGATATTTTTGAGATTCAAAGGAAAAAAAGACCACAGTCAAGGACAAGACATGACAAAGGCCTATAGAGGTGAGCCTTAATGTAGAAGTGTCAAGTGGAGAAGACATGACATTGCCAGAGAAAAATGAGGCTAGTTTTACACATGAGACACAACAGAAGCAAAGGCATAGAGGGAAACAGGGAATTTCTGATCAGAGAGTTGAGTCCAACAGAAAGGGAGAATTTACTCCTCCTCTAACATTTTAGGGAGGCTCTAGTGTCTGTAAAGTGCTGGGCTTGCACAGAGCTTTCTCTCAACACGCTTAGAATCACATAAAGAGGTTTTGTGATGGACTAACTTGTGTCTCCCTTCTCACTGCCACATAGATATGTTAAAGTCTAATTCTCATTGTGACTGTGTTTGGAGCTAGAATCTTTGAAGAGGCAGTTACGGTTAAATGATGTTTTATTTGATTTGTTTATGTTGTTGTTGTTCGTTTTGGGGTGATTTTTTTAGATGAAGTTTAGCCCTTGTTGCCGAGGCTGGAGTGCAATGGCACAATCTTGGCTCACTGCAACCTCCTCCTCCCAGGTTCAAGCAATTCTCCTGCCTCAGCCTCCCAAGTAGCTGAGATTATAGGCATGCACCACCACACCCAGCTAATTTTGTATTTTTAGTAGAGACGGGGTTTCACCATGCTGGCCAGGCTGGTTTTGAACTCCCGACCTCAGGTGATCCACACCCCGTGGCCTCCCAAAGTGCTGAGATTACAGGCCTGACCCACTGCGCCCAGCAGGTTAAATGATGTTAAAAGGATGGGGATTTAATCCAACAGGAATGGTGTCCTCTTCAGAAGAGGAAGAGATACAAACGAAGCCCATGCACAGAGACAAGAGTGTGAGGCATGCCAACAGGAAAGGTCTCAGGAGAAACCAACACTGCCCACACCTCGACGTGGGATTGTTAGCCTCCATGACTAAGAGAAACACTAAATTTCTACTGTTTAAGACCTTCAGTCTGTGGGATTGTGTTATGGTGGCCCTAGCAGACCAACAGAATAAACAATAAGGTTGCAAAGTAATGTTGATGTCGAAATAAAATTTGAACTTGAGCCTTTAGTTCATGAGCAGTGTTTGGAGATAATAATTGTATTAGTCCATTTTCATGCTGCTGATAAAGACATACCCAAAACTGGGTAATTTAAAAGAAAAAGAGGTTTAATGGACTCACAGTTCCACATGGCTGGGGAAGCCTCACAATAATGGCAGAAGGCAAAAGGCACATCTTACATGGCAGCAGACAGGAGAGAAAATGACAGCCAAACAAAAGGGGAAACCCCTTATCAAACCATCAGATCTTGTGAGACTACCACGAGAAAAGTATGGGGGAAACAGCTCCCATAATTCAATTATCTCCCACTGGGTCCCTCCCACAACACATGGGAATTAGGGGAGCTACAAGTCAAGGTGAGATTTGGGTGGGGACACAGACAAACCATATCAATAATCTAAGCAGGATGGACTGGAGAAAAATAAGAGATAGGTAAGAAAAAAATTACCATCAAGTCTTTGGGTATTACTCCACCAGCAAGATGGAAGGAATAATGGAAGCAATTTAGGAGCTGTTGCAGAGAAAGAAGGCCTAGAATCACTGAAGGCCTAGAATTATTGAAGGCCTAGAATCTCCAAAGGCCTAGAATCACTGAATTTTAGAGCAAAACAGAATGTCTTAGCAATCACTTAAGTCAACCATTTTCATTTTTAACTGATAGGGATTCAGTGGCCCAGGAAGCGCAACAGAGACAGCTTCATGGGATTGGGACCTGTGAAGCCACACGGGGCACATGATGAGAAGTCCTCACATTTGGTTTAATGCTCTGCCATCACCAACTTAAAATTCTTGATGATTTTTGAAAAAGGGCCTCCGTATTTTCATTTTGCATCGGATCCCACAAATTATTTAGCTGTTCCTGATCAGTAGTTTTGTCACAGTTTTATACAAAGCTTTAATTATTAGAACTCTCCCCAGTATCCTGCCTTCTAGGCCGTGGCTTATTCTGCCTCTCATTCTGCCTCAGAAGCTGCTAGAAGGCAGAGGTGGAAGGAGGAGCCAAAAATAGCTCCACCACATTAAGCTAAGGAAACTGATGGAATTATCAACCACAATACCAAAAATATGTTAACCCAAGGAAGGAGAATAAATTCCATGGAGTTTGGGGGTTTTGTTCTGTTTGCTTTCATTTTGCTTTGCGTTGGGTTTTCATTGGCTTTTTGTTGTTTGTGTTTGTTTGTCTTGCTATGTTTGGTTTTTTGTTGTTGTTGTTTTGTTTTGGTTTTGGTTTGGTTTTGCTTCTTGGAGTAAAAATTGGCCCTTCAGTTAAAATAACTGAAGAAGAAGAAGCAAATTTGAATTGAAGGATGGGAGAGATTAGGGGAAAAAATAATATATGATATATACCCAGAATAGTGGGTGAATTCCAAAAAGTGAAGCCTTGGTGATAAGGTTTGGCTGTGTTCCCACCCAAATCTCATCTTAAATTGTAGCTCCCATAGTTCCCATGTGTCATGGGTGGAAGCTGGTGGAAGTTAATTGAATCATGGTGGTAAGTCTTTCCCACACTGTTCTCATGATAGTGAATAAGTCTCACGAGATCTGATGGTTTTATAAAAGACAGTTCCCCTGCACAATCTCTTTCTTGCCTGCTGCCATGTAAAATGTCTCTTACTCTTCTGCCATGATTGTGAGGCCTCCCCCGCCATGTGGAACTGTGAGTCCATTCAACTTTCCTTTCCTTTATAAATTGCCCAGTCTCAGGTATGTCTTTATTAGCAGCATGAGAGTAGACAAATACACTTGGAAATGAGTGAAATATCTACGGAAAGAATCTAAAGACACAAGAGCAAAAGGGAGAGGCATTAGTGTTAAGAAATCAAAGTGTAAGGGGCTACAGATAAGGGAAGGAAAAATAGAAAGAAAATAAACAGAGCAAGAATTGAGATGAAAATCAATGTAAAGCAAGCCTGAACTCAGAGGTAGAGAGTTTACCTGTAAATAGTCAGTAATTGCAAACGGTGAAAATATCAGAATTAGCAATTGACGGTTACTGGTAAACTTGAATACATATTCAGTATTATCATACAGGTTACACTAAATCATATAGGATTAAAGTCAAAATTTAATGATTGAAAAAAATTAAAAGACATTATTTGGATCAGCTGGAGTAAGCAAAAGAGTCAGGTTAAAAAAAAATTTTTTTCTAGATGGAAGCCAGTGTATATTTGAAGGAAGAGAAGAAACAGGGTGTTAAAAGAGAGAATGTAAAAAATGTTGGGAAGGAGAATAGATAAGAAAGAAAGAAAGGGCTCAGAGATACAACAGGCACCAGGAACACAGTCACAGATAGCATTGTTGGCTTTGGAAAGAAAGAATATTGGTTCTTTCTCTCTGAAAATTAGAAAAGAAGAAAAACGAACAGATAGAGTCATTTTGAAGGACAATGGGGATGTTCATCCCTCAAAGTCTTCACCTGAGAGCAAAACAGAAATGAAAGTCACTTTCTGAAATGTTTTTGTTATAATCTACAAGTTAATAGTTTTCTACAAATATTGGGGGCTGAATGGACAGTATATGAGTGACACGTTATGAAAATGGAATGTTTAATCATGCCACATAAACCTCTTTTCTAGAAACAATGTTATGCAGCACACTTGCCAAGAGAGAATAAACAAACTGCTTATTCAGCGGTATGAAATATAGCATCTTTTGAATATTTCATGGCAAGGCTTCAGGTATAAAATTTCAGGAGCTGAAATCTGTAGAGTAATAAGAAACTGAAAAAAAAAAAAAAAGAAAAGAAAATTATCAGCAAAAAATATTGTAGAGGGAAGCCAAACTACTGAACTGCCCAAATTATGGAAAGAGAATGGAATTATTTATTCTAAGCCTTGGAGTTAGAAGCTGCAAGTCCATACCCATACACACCCATACGCACAGACACACACAAACGCACAGACACACACACAGACACACATGCATATGCACAGACACACACACGTACACACAGACACACAAACACACACAAACACACAGACACACATGCATATGCACAGACACACATGCATACAGACACATACACAGGCATATACACAGACACACACACATATGTACAGACAGACACAAACACACAGACACACTCATATACACAGACACAGACCCATACGCACAGACACACAGAAACACACAGACACACACAAACGCACAGACACACATGCATATGCACAGACACACATGCGTACACACAGACACACACAAACACACATATACAAACACATACAGCTTGGTGTTTCCATTTCCACATAAAATACCTGCTATGGTTTGATTGTGTCTTCCAAAGTTCATGTGTTGGAAATGTACCCCCAGTGCAATGGTGTTGAAAGGTGGGACCTTTAAGAGGAGGTTAGGCCATGTGGACTCTCTTTTCATAACTAGATTAATGTCATTATTATGGGGGTACATTCATTATCTTGAGAGTAGGTTTGTTGTAAAAAGAGAATTCAGCCCTCTCTTTTTCTCTTGCTTTAACACTCTCTTGCCTTCCACCTTCTGCCATGGGATGATTCAGTTCAATGTCCCTTATCAGATGCTGTCACTGTGATATGGGACTTCCCACCTTCAAGAATTGTGAGAAATGAATTTATTTTCTTTATAAATAACCCAGTCTGTGGTATTCTATTATAACAACACAAAGTAAACTAAGACAGTATCATATAAAGTATGTTTGTTTGAAATACACAGATAATCTAACATGACTTAAAAACAGTCACTTGCTATTCTTGCTGGATACCAGTGAATTCAGTGTATCCTATCAGAAGTGTGCATTAGGTAAAGTATTATCCTAAGATTTTTTTTTATTCATTTATTTGGTCATCTAAAACGTTTACTCTTTGGAGTAAAAAAGGCACCTGCTTAACAACTTTATTCTACCTCACCCTAAAATAGCTACAAATCTACCGAAAAGTTCATGATCACAAAATACCACAGAACATGACGCTCAAAGGAAAAGCTGTAGTCAGATTCTGGGAGGAATTCCCAATAATGATGATAATAGAGCTGGATTCAGAAAATTAATCAATGACCTACCTTTCACCACAAAAAACCAAGCAGTCCACAAAGGAAGGACTATTCAAATACCCAGGGGCTGTGCTTTTATATGCAGGAGAGTAATATCACATTTAGGTAGAATTACAACCTTGTTATTGTCATTATTTGGAGCTAAAGTATGGTTTAAGGAGATGCATATGGGTACCGAGTTGATAAGGGGTAGACTTGTGCTAGTAAATTTTACGTGTCAACTTGACTGGGCTAAGACATGCCCATAGAGCTGGTAAAACATCATTTCTGGATGTGACTGTGAGGGTGTTTCCAGAAGAGATTAGTGTTAGAATCAGGGAGCTGAGTGAAAAAGATTCACCCTCACTAACGTGGGCGGGCCTCATCTAACTCACTGAGGGCCTGAAGAGAACAAAAGGGGAACTCTAAGCTGTCTCACTTC
The DNA here is from genome assembly GCF_000001405.40 of Homo sapiens. Taxonomy (NCBI): domain Eukaryota; kingdom Metazoa; phylum Chordata; class Mammalia; order Primates; family Hominidae; genus Homo; species Homo sapiens. The sequence goes on along the minus strand of NC_000006.12, from coordinate 155,628,431 downwards.
TCTGCCCCATCGCCACCGTGTTCTGTGACTAACCTCTTCAATTCCAAGAAAGGATAGGTCTGATGCACATCACTAGGATTTCACGGAAACAAGGTGTGAGAACTTAGGGCTTTTAATGGAAGGAGTATAGGGCTTGAAACTGCTTTCCTGAGCATATCTCTTTTCTGTTTGTCTTCCTGTTCAACTGTTTCGTTTGTTTTCTCTCCTCCCTTCCTCACTTCTAAAATGTTAAAACGTGTGTGTTTGGGGAGCAGGGATGGGGTGTGTGCGTGAGGAGCTTCCTGAAAGATCAATGGCAATTTGAGGAGAATTCAAGGGAGGGAAGACATGCAGCAAAGCATTTAAGTTGGCCTTAAATTATAGCCCATTCCTACAAGGGCAAAATGAGGCCAGCTCAAGACATCTCATGTCTGCACCCTTCCTTCCTTCCTTCCTTCCTTCCTTCCTTCCTTCCTTCTTTCCTTCCTTCCTTCCTTCTTTCCTTCCTTCCTTCTTTCCTTCCTTCCTTCTTTCCTTCCTTCCTTCTTTCCTTCCTTCCTTCCTTCTTTCCTTCCTTCTTTCCGTCCTTCCTTCCTTCTTTCCTTCCTTCCTTCTTTCCTTCCTTCCTTCCTTCTTTCCTTCCTTCCTTCCTTCTTTCCTTCTTTCCTTCTTTCCTTCCTTCCTTCTTTCCTTCCTTCCTTCCTTCTTTCCGTCCTTCCTTCCTTCTTTCCTTCCTTCCTTCTTTCCTTCCTTCCTTCTTTCCTTCCTTCCTTCCTTTATTTCTTTTGAGACAGAGTCTCACTTTATTGCCCAGGCTGGAGTGCAGTGATCCGCTCTCAGCTCACTACAACCTCCACCTCCCGGGTTCAAGTGATTCTCCTGCCTCAGCCTCCTGAGTAGCTGGGATTACAGGCACGCACCACCATGCCCGGCTGATTTTTTTTAATTTCTGTAGAGACAAGGTTTCACCATGCTGGCCAGGCTGGTCTCAAACCCCTGACCTCATAATCCACTCGTCTCAGCCTCCTAAAGTGCTGGGATTACAGGCGTGAACCACCGTGCCCCGCCCAGGTCTGCACTTTTATTTCTAAGACAGCTTATGAAATTCATTCTCCACTTCCCACACAGCCTCTCCATGAATCCTCTTAACTTCCATTAGACCTTACAATTTAAATTTGTTAGAGATTTGATGATTAACATTAAAAGCAAATGAATTAGTAGCTTTTAAATAAATAATAGCGTATGTTCATATGATTATAAAACATATACATAAGTTAATTTCTAGGAGATAATTTTTTTTATATTTAGGAATATCACACCAAACTGCACATCTTAACTGTCTTGTTCTCTCTTTTCTGATATCAAACACTGACAAATACACCATTTGTCATTACTTAGAAAAGATGAGTAGAAAGGGTCAGAGCGTCAATGCCTCAATAACCCGAAACCCAGGAAAATGTGAGATGGCAGTGTGGTTGAACTACCGTTTAGCAAAACAGTATGCCACATGAAGAATTGTCTTAGTCTGTTCAGGCTGCTGTAACAAAATACCATGAACAGGATAGCTTATAAGACAACAGAAATTTACTTCTCACAGTTCTGGAGGCTGGAAAGTCCACAAACAAGGCAAAATTGGGGTCTGGGGGATGGCCTGCTTTGTGATTCATTGATGGTGACTTCTTGCTATGTCTTTATATCATGGAGGGGCAAGAAGTCTCTTTGCCCTCTTTTATAAGGGTACTAATCTCATTCATGAGGGTTTCATCATCATGACCTAATCATCTCCCAAAGGTCCTACCTCCTAACACCTTCCCCTAGAGGGTCAATATTTTAGCCTATGAATTTTGGGGAGACACAGATATTCAGACTATAGCAATAAGGCTGTATCAAATTATTTTTTTTTCTTTCTACTATAGTCTCTCCATTTTGTTTTTAAGGAATTCACCGTAGTCTAGGTAAGAGGGAAGAAGTTATACAACTCAAGGTAGCTGTCTGAAGAAAATATCTCTTTTATTATACAGGCAGATGCAACATGCTCATAAACAAGATGTTTTATTTCATTTGAACATGAAAGCTCATATTTCATGGTATCCTTAACCAATATAATTACAAATGAGGTTCAGGAATGTCAGTCTAACTGTATAATTTTTTTTTCCTCTTTTTTTTTTTTTTTTTTTTGAGATGGAGTCTCACTCTGTTGCCCAGGCTGGATTTCAGTGGCAAAATCTCGGCCCACTGCAACCACTGTCTCCCAGGTTCAAGTGATTCTCCTTCTTCAACCTCTTGAGTACCTGGGATTACAGGTGCCTGCCATCACACCCAGCTAGTTTTTGTATTTTTAGTAAAGATGGGGTTTCACCATGTTGGCCAGGCTGGTCTCAAACTCCTGACCTCAGGCAATCTGCCTGTCTCGGCCTCCCAAAGTGCTGGGATTACAGGCGTAAGCCACCGCACCTGGACTAACTGTATAAGAAATTTATTTTAACATGGTATCTAGATATATTATCCCACAAATGGCCCCATCCCTAAAGATTAAAGAAGGCTGGAGATGGTCTTGGGCAGATTCAGGACAAGAATGAGATCATAATCTTTAATGTCAAACAGACTTGGATCTGAGGCTTGGTTGTGCCATTCATGAGTTGTGTAATCTTGGAGAAATTATATACTTTTCCTAATCCTGTTTCCTAATGTGTCAAATGGTGCTAATAGCAATTCCCTCTTAGTGTGGATATGAGAATTAAATAGAAAAATGAGTGCATAGCCAGTACCTGGCACAGAGTGGGTTCTTGGTAAATGTTGATCATGACCCGTTGGCTTCTTTTAGAAGGATGTGTTATACTTTAGCAGATGGAGGAGAGAGAGGATTTATGATGCAGGCTCATTCACAAACCTCAGGTCAAAGAGTAGCCACACTTGTCATGTGACCCACTTAGGAAGAGCAGAGCCCTGGGGAAAGGAGAGAAACTGGCCTCCACGTGAAGAACAGGCACATCCCAGAGATTCTGGAGAAATGGCATGGATTGGTTCTGAACAAGCATTCATGCAAAGGGGGAATCTGATTGCATCCTTTAATTTGCAAAAGCAGCTACTCTTTTTGAGGTCAAATTGCCAAAAGAAAGATACCATTGCCCTGCACTGCTGAATACACAGGTACTTGTAAACTGTGCTACAACCAGCATTGAAAATGTGGAATATTTGTGTGCTTCTCTTCAGGAAACTATTATAATGCTTTAATTGGGATCAGAAAGTGTCACCAAAAAGGGCAGCTGTGTATCAACTGCATAGTGCCACCTATGTTTTTATTGAGGCCTCCTTCCCAATCCAATCACAACCATCTGTCTATATATTTCAACCACTCCCAGAAACAATGCAGTAAGTGGGGGTTCTGCAGGGGAGTCAATGACAAGTAATTGTGTCTTAGAATATATAGAGCTCAAATCATATGGGCTGGGTAACATGGAGCTAGCAATACATGGCGGGGTAGTATAGTGCTAGAAAGAGCCCTGTGACAGCTGGGCACCATGGATCACATCTGTAATCCTAGCACTTTGGGAGGCCAAGGCAGGCGGATCACGAGGTCAGGAGTTCGAGATCAGCCTGGCCAAAATGGCAAAACCCCTTCTCTACTAAAAATACAAAAATTAGCCAGGCATGGGGGTGGGCTCCTGTAATCCCAGCTACTCGGGAGGCTGAAGCAGGAGAATCACTTGAACCTGGGGGGCGGAGGTTGCAGTGAGCCAAGATCACACCACTGCACTCCAGTCTGGATGAAAGAGTGAAATTCTGTCTGAAAAAGAAAAAAAAAAAAGAAAAAAAAAGAGCCCTGTGAGAAGAATACACAGGATGTTGCGGTAGGTATTGCATGAACTCTTTCAGTTCAGAAGGAGATTTTAAGGAAATGCTGAGATGTAAAAAGTTGTGGCTTTGGGGCACTGGGAGCAGGATACTATAAAGAAGATTATGATGAGAAAAGATGGAAAAAGATCAAGATGAAAAAGAAGGGTAGGCAAAAGAGGAAATTTATTGAAACTAATGATGAGTATGTGAAAGGAAAATAAAATCTTGGGACCCCAAACTCACTATGTCTAATGAATGAAATGTTCAAATGAAATGTTATGAATAACTTTGGGAGAAAAATCTGTAGATTTTGCTATGTAAAAAATTTAAACTTTTGTATCTCGAAATATAATACCAGGGTCCTACTTCCAGCAAATAGCTAACCATATATGCAGAGATTCTGCTCTGAGTTCTGATCATTGCAAAGGTGATCAAAGCATAAGAAGGGAAAAGTTAAGTTTGGGAACTGAGTCATGCAAAAAAACTGCCTTTCTTTGTTCCCAAACAGATAGCTGTAATTTCACATGCTTACATTATCTTATGTAAAATGTAGATTTACTGAGCATGTGAGGGAATAATTGACTTCCCCCGCATTCCTTTCTTTTCACATGTAAAATGTAGATTCATTGAGCTAATCAAAACTTTACAAGTAACCATTTGCCTCATTGCCTACCCTCCCAGGCCTTTCTTTCCATTCTTTGTTCCCCTCCTGCTTGCTCTTTCCCCTTTAAATATTGAAGTCCTTAAAACCCTCTTTGGAAAAAACACAGGCCACAGATCCTACTGTAACTTCTGTTTCTTTTTCCCAGGTGCATCTTCCACCTTGGCAAAATAAACCTCTAAATCAATTGCAATCTGCCTGAGTCACTTTAGTACAGTGAAAGTCCCAAAATTCAACCACATAAAATACAGAGTTGTGTTATTACAAGGGATCACACTGCACCATCCAAATCCACGTTGCTCTTGGCCACTGTTTGGCACCACTAGGTAATGACTGTTTATGCCACTTCAATGTTGAGGGGCAATTCTAGGCCCTGTGGCTGCTGGGGGCTCCCAGGATCATGGCAGCAATTCCAGGAGTCTCCTAAGTGGATGATGCTTATTTATCAGCCCAAGTTGGCAAATTTGGACTGAAACAACCCTGAGAAGAGGGAACTATCCCTCTCCCTCTGCACTTCCTAAAAAGCCTATTATTTCTTTGTTGGCCTCATCTTCCCAGTCAAACCCTATTCTCCCAAGAGGATAAGAAATTTAACTTTCTCTGCCTTAGAATTTGGCTATGCAAAGGAAGGCAGTCAATTGTTATATGAGAATTAGCATTATTATAGAGCAAATTGTTGTGGGATTTACAGTGTTTATATTCAAATTAACAACAGTAAATAGAAAGATCAAACTACAGAAAACTGAATTAGTAATGTTGAATAAGTTCCAAAATTCCCGCAAGTTTGAAACAGTGGAAAAGAATGAAGCAACAAGACCAGGGAAATAAAAGGCAATATAAAAACTAATATTATAGATAAAATTGCACAGAATAAAAAATTAAATCATAGAATTATAGTTGTTTATGAGGACTATGGAACAATTAGGACAGACAAGAAAGTCAGACATAATTCAGATAATTTTTGTTGGCCAAATAAACACATTAGCACACAGATTGAAATAATTCACCATACTCAAGACAAAAATCAAATAATTCCAATGTTATAGGCACAGTGAAAAAAAATTAAATTAAATTGGTAGCAAAAATATCCTACCAATATTCAGCCAGTGAAAAAAAATTTAGAAAGATTCTACATTATGCACAAATTATCTAAAATTAGGCATGCTTCAATCATTTCTGCATTACTATATTTTAGAAAAATGGAAGAGTAATAGAGTTTTGAAAGAAAAATGTGAAGGCTCAAGAATGTTATACTTAATCAAGATTTTGATGTTTGGGTATACTTGTATGTGAAAACAGTAGGACTCCATTTCAGATATGTATGGCTCATAGAGTATGCCAATCATTTATCCCTCCAGAAAAAAATTTGAAAGTGTTTTCCATCTGGCCACAATTCAATATACAAAAATGAGAAAGTCACTATATATAAAGACTGCCAGAAAAAAAGCTGATAACCAGCTAAATATAATTTCATGTCTAGAAAATTATAGCAACACTATTTTATATTCTTATTAAAAAGAGAACAAAGATATCTACTAGCATTATGATTATTTGTCATTGGTCTAGCCAATTCAATTGGATATAAGATATAGGAGATATCAGAAAAGAGTGGAGAGGGTTGTCATTGTTTGTACATATTTTTTGTTTGTTTGTTTGTTTACCTAGAAAGTACAAGAGAATCAAATGAAAACCATTAGAACCAACATAAAATAATTTAATTGGGCAGCTGAAAATGAAACAAATATATTTAAAAATCAATAATTGTCCTACATGCTAGCAATAGCATGTTAGAAAATATAATGTAAAATTAGAGCTCATTCATAATAAATACATAGTAAATTCACACCATAATGAAGTGTGTCAACATTACTGACAGACATAAGAGGATATTTGGAAAATAGAAAGATGAGCCATATTCTTTTATTGGCTGGCTATTTTAAATCTATTTAAATATATTTATAGAATTCATGTACTTCTAGTTAATATTCTAAGGGAATATTGGGGTGGGGTGTAGCTCTAGTGTTCTAATTTTCACCTGTAAAAAAATAAAACAAATGTTAGGAATAACTAAATAAATTTTCTAAAGAAATGCAGGGAATAATAAGGTGGGACTTGCCTTAACATATATTAAAAAGTACATAATATAAAGCCATGGTAATCAAAATAGAAGAACAGACAGAGCAATGTACTGGTGCTTGAACAAACAATAAAGTGGAGAGAATGCTATAACCCAGAAATACCATATAAATAAACTATTCTGGAACAATCAATCAACTGAAAGTCACAGTACATGAACTAAACCAAAACAAACCTCAGAAAGTGTATTTACAATAAACCTAGAAAACATTATAGAGACACAGATGTCTGATTTTCTTCAAATGAAATGGCAAGAATAACACTAGGAGAAAATCAGTAGATTTTGCTATGTAAAATTTAAAACTTCTGTATCTCAAAATATAATACCAGGGTTCTACTTCCAGCAAATAGCTAACCACATATGCAGAGATTCTGTTCTGAGTTCTGATCATCGAAAGGGTGATCAAAGCATAAGAAAGAACTCTTTTGTCTTATCTGTGGGCCATGTATAAATGGAGTGCTGCAGTGTGCACTCTCTTACATGTGGCTGCTTTCACTCAATATGATGTCACTTAGATTAGTGATATTGTGGACGGTCGTTGTCACTTAAGCCCATTGCTCTGACCTATCCAGTCATGAGTGGGAAGAGGCACAAGAGCAGACTCTGAAAAGCTGGTAATAATCTGTCTCTTGATCGGGTGCTGACAAGGATATGTTCAGTTTGTAAAAAGGCATCATACTGTGTACACTTACAACTTGTGCACTTTTTTGTATGTATGTTATTTTTTAATTAAAAAATACACAAATAATTTTTAAAGTGACTACTTGAAAGCAAGATTAAGCTAGTAATAAAGGAAAGTAGACCACTGGCAGCCATTAATGATGAGTAGGAATAATTCCGCAGGGGTAAGGTGACTCTGGAGATGCCATACGGCATTTGGCATTTGCCAATCTCTGATGGCCCAGTGCCTGGGTTTTAAAAGGTTGCACTAGCAAAAGGGACAAGAGACAAAGTCTGGACACTAATAGGGCGAGAGGTCTGGATCAGAAACTATATAAATCTAGCACTCTCTGAAAAGTAATACCTTCAATTAATGAACTCGGGAAAAACCAGTCCACAGAAATAGGCTTGCCTATTTCACCCTTAGCTCAGGATAAGGGTTGGGAAAGAATACATATCCCCTAAGAATTTCTGACTATAAGCTTGTGTTTGTGGCTAGAATTTATACTACCTATGTGGCTGGAAAAATCCAAATCAAAAATTTATCTTAAGCTGGTCTCTAGGCACCTGACAGAGCACACGTAAATCATTTCTAGTGCAATACTCTTTAAATTCAGTTTTCCAAAAATTCTATGGAAAAGCACCGCAGGCCATAATCAGCTCACAACCAAAAAGCATAAATAAATGAGGTACCATATTATCATTATTAAGAGTCAGTTTTAAAAAATCCTACAGACTCAGATCCACAAAGGCAGCAAATATGGGAATTGTCAGAAACAGAATGTGAGTGTATTAACATATTTAAAGAAATCAAAGAGGGGTTGGACAGTATAGTTAAGGAAGAAGAGACTAATCATCAAACTTTATAATACCAAAAGGTATTACAAAGACACAAACAGAAAACCTTGTAAAAAATATGCTTATTGAAATTAGAAATACAATGAATTTTTTTTTGAGACATAGTCTTGCTCTGTCACCCAGGCTGGAGTGCAGTAGTGCAATCTCAGCTCACTACAACCTCTGCCTCCTGGGTTCAAGCGATTCTCCTGCCCGAGACTCCCGAGTAGCTGGGACTTAGAGGCATGCATCACCATGCCCAGCTAATTTTTGTATTTTCAGAAGAGACAGGGTTTCTCCATGTTGCCCAGGCTGCTCTCGAACTCCTGACCTCAAGTGATCCACCCGCCTTGGCCTCCCAAAGTGCTGGGATTACAGGCATGAGCCACCAGGCCTGACCACAGTGAATAAATTAAATAGCACATTAAATTCAGCTGATAAAGGAATAAAGGTGCTGGGAGAGAAAGAAACATCTGTAATGCAGCACAGAGTCAAAGTGTTAAGAAAATATAAAAGAGAGATCAACTTAATATGAATAGAACAAGACAGTCAAAACCACATTATTTCTTCCAAGAGGAAAAAATAAAGGAAATAATGGAAAGACGAAATTCAAAGATATCGTGGGCTAAGAATATTCCAGTAAAAGACAGAAACTCTCAAATTCAGAACACCTGGTGAAACCTGAACAAAATAAATAAAAACAAAGTTGCACCTGGAAATATCTTCATGAAACTACAAAACTCCAAAAAAAAAGGAAAAAATATTAAACCATTATTTATGCCAAGGGAAATGCATATTACAACTACTTTAAGATACTATTTCTCTTGTATCAGACTAGCAAAATCCAAATGTTTGACAAAATACCTTGTTGGGGAGTTTGTGTGGAGACAGGAATTCTGAGATATTGCTGGAGAGGATGAAAAGTTATATGGCCTTCCACATCAAACCAAATTATGAATGCGCATGTTCATTGATCTAACAATCTTATTCCAAGTGACAATCATCAAAGACACACTTACAAAAACATTAAAGATTTTACAGAAGGCTATTAATTAAAACAATTGTAACAGAAAAAAAAAAGAAGTAATTCAAATATCCCCCTATAGGAGACTAGTTAAATTAACTATGGTTCACAACATAATGGAATATTGTACAACTGTTTAAGACAACAACGAGCATCCCTATCTGCTGCTATAGAGTGATCTCCAGGATGTTTTCTTAGAGAAAAAACCAAAGTGTAAAAAAGTGAATATTGTATGTTATCATTTATCTGATAATGTAAGAAGAATTACTTTTTTAATATAAGGATAAACTGAAAGCCACATATGTGGGCAGAAGGACATTAGATTTCTCTAAATATTCCTTGTTTTGGAGATTTGACCTTGGCCCTATGTATACATTTTAAACAAATATAAAACAAAAAATAAATGTAGAAGCAATTCTGAAAAATTGGAAGCATTATTTGTAGATAGTATAATTAATAAAAAACGTCCCAGCATAGCCTACATAATAGAGTTAATAGGAATGTTTAAGTTTGCCAATTGTGAGATCAATAGACATAAGCAACAAACAGAAAACAATGTTTAAAAAATGATAATATTTATCATAGCAACAAAATAATATATGCCACCTAGAAATAAATCTAACCAAAGATGTGCAAGACCTTTACATACAAAGTAGGAAACATATTAAAAGGCCTTAAAGAAAACATAAATAAATGAAGAGGAACATAACGTTCACAGGAAGAGTTATTATTATTATTATTATTATTGAGACACAGTCTCACTCTGTCACCAAGATTGGAGAGCAGTGGTGTGATCACAACTCACTGCAGCCTTGACCTCCTGTGCTCAGGTGATCCTCCCACCTCAGCCTCCTGACTAGACGGAAATACAGGAACATGCCACCATATCCGGCTAATTTTTTGTAGAGATGGGGTTTCGCCATGTTGCCTAGGCTAGAAAGAGTTATTATTATAGAGTCAGTTTTTCCTAAATTGCTCCAAAGATTTAAGCAATTCTAATTAAAATAACTATAGGGTGCTTTTTTTTTTTTTTTTTGGCTTTGGGTTTCTTTTTCTGAAACTTGACAAGATGATTTATAAACTGATGTAAAAGCATAAAAAAGGCCAAGCCAAGAATATGCAATTTGTCCTACCAGATAGCAAGACTGATTATATTAAAAAAAAAAAAGAAAGAAAGAAAAAGGTGGACCATGTGGTATTGCAAGAGAGATGGACAAATAGACAACAAGAGCAGAACGTAGCACCCAGAAGTAGACATATACATATGGAAATTCAAAATATGCCAGAGGCAAAATTGCGGCTCAGTAGAGAAAAAAGAAGTAAATGGTACTGGAGCAAATGTTCATCCATATGGAAATATTTTAAATAGATCCCTTCCTCAAACCATACACAAAAATAATTTTTAGGTGAGTTAAAGACTTAAATGTGACGATCAAAACTGCAATATTTTCAGAAGTTGATATAGGAAGATATATTTAAAACCCTGAAACAGAGAAAGATTCCCTAAGCCAGACACAACAAGCACAAACCATACAGCAAAGATTGAGGGACTCAACTATATTCAAATCAAGGTTTTTCTGTTCAGAGAAGGCATATAAAGACAAAAAAAGACACACAAAGTAAAAAAGACAAGCCATAAACTGAAAGAAGATTATTGCATAACATGTAATAATCAAATAATTATTTTTCAGAATATATAAAGATATGAGTCAGTAAGAGAAGGTACACAATTAAAAAATAGCCAAAGGACACAAATGAAGATAAGGAAACAGGAGTGGCCAACAGATACAAATCAAAATCATAATAAAATAAAATTTCAAAACCATTATGTTGGCAAAAATTAGTTTGACAATACTATGTAGCAAAGATGTGGAGCAACTACAATTCTTATACATTGCCAAAGGTATTATAAATGAGTACAATTAGATTGAGAAGCAATTTTGTATTACCAAATAAAGCTGTGTATAAGCATACATGGAAGTCTGAGCAGTTCCACTTTTAGTGATATCCCTAGAAAAACCCCAGAGCATGTCTACCAGGTGATAGCCGACTACCCCACATGGATGGCATGTGTTGGCAGCATTGCTTATAAAAACATAACAGTGTAAACATTCCAAATGTTTGTCAATGAAATAACATAAAGCAATGGAAGTGAATGACCTACAACTTCATGCATTAGCATGAATGAATCTTAAAATCAAAATTCTGCAAAAATACATAAATAAGCCATAGTACAGTATATACCATATTATCTCATAAAGTGCAAAAGCAGGCAAAATTGAACATAGATATTTTTAAACTATAAAAAGGAAGGCAACAATTTATACAAATTTCAAGTTCATGGTCACCTTTGAGGTGGGGAGAGAGGAAAAGTGGTAAGTAAGGAATGAACATACAAGAGGGCTTAAGGTGATGTTAATCTTCTATTTCTCAAGGCTGTTTTGGAATCATGGGTATTTACTATATTATTTTTCTTTAAACTGCATATATATATATATTCATGCATATGTATATATACATGCTGTTTTAAGCATAATGTACACAATAATAAATGACAAAAGTATGTGTAGGACTAATTAATATCTTCAGCACATTGAACCATACGAATCATTAAGAAAAACTCTAAATTGACATTAGAAAAACATGAAGAGAATCTCTTTTACTTTTCTAAAATGGAAACTAAAAGTAATAAGGTGATATTTCTCATCTATAAAATTAAGAATTTTATTTTTTTAGGAAATTGCCTATGGTTGTAATAGAGGCAGGAGATAGTCAAATGCTGCCCAGGTCATTGGGCACAGGGGGCTTGACTAAACATGCCCACGGTGAGAAAAATCCCATCCCTTAACACATCCACAGTAAGGAAAATAAATCAATGTGGAGTGGCTCAGACTAAGGACCGGCACGTGCACTGGAAGAATGGGGTGGACCCACCAGGAATGCATACCTTATGCAGGGGAGGACTCAGGCCTCTTCAGCTCATGTGTGGTGGCCTGGTATTCAATTTTTGTAAAGTGGAAAACCTGCATACAGGACCCCTCTTTTTGTTGAGAGCTTTCCTTTCGCTTAATAAATTCCACCCTCCTCACCTTTCGATATGTCTACACGCCTAATTTTTCCTGGTTGTGAGACAAGAACCCAGATTTGGCTGAACTAAGGAGCAAAAAATCCTGCATCATTGTGGTAGCCCATATGGGGACATGAGGAAGGGTGAGTAAAATGCAGACCCAAAAATCTCGTTCCCTTTTGTTACTGAGCTTTCTCATCCTCAGATATTTTCTGAGGGCAGGGCAAACTGGCCCCCCTGCAACGGGTTGGGAATGTCAGCCTCAGTTCAACCCAGTCTTTTCTATGGATTTTCCTTTTTTTGCAGGTGAACTGTAATAGCACCTATCTTTTCTCTTACAATATTTGAGGTGTTCCAACCCCACCCCAATGGCCACAGGTGTACGCACAGGATGGATGGGCAAACAGCTGCTCCCTGCACCCTCATCTTCCCTCCCTGCTAGGGTGCATGACCGTGTCTGCTGCCTGTGCACATGGCATCCAATGGCCATGCAGGACAGGACTGAGCCATAGCCACTGCCCGGGCCCCAGGGCGGTCTCAGGGCCCCAGGCCCCACATGGCTGGCTGGTCAGTGTCCCCCACCATATGTCCACAGAGTCTTCTCCTCCCCCAGCCGAGGGGTCCAGCTTGGTCTGACATCAATTAAAAGTTTCTCTGCCTATTGGAGAAACCCATTTGCATAAGAATAAGAGATTCTTCCCCCAGGCATCTTCTGTGCCCCATACTTAAGCTGTTTTTTTCTTTTCTCTACCTTGTCAGTAGTTAACACAGCCCTGCATTTAATCTGTTTTTTTGTTTGTTTGTTTGTTTTCTTTTCTCCAGCAGGTCAAAAGTTGGTGGGTTGGTGTGAAAGTAGTTGTGGTTTTTGCCATTATTTACAATGGTGGGGACCATGATTGCTTTTGCACCAACTTAATAACACATCTCTGTGAGTAGTGGGAGCTTCTATAGCTATGCCAGAGGCTTTTTCCTCTTGGAAGGCATCTTACTAGACCAGGACCCCAATTACAGGACACCGTTTTTCCCTCCCTTGTTTGAGAAGGACTCAATTCCACATTTTCACCTTAGCATTCAGCTTAGGATAAGGAGGCAACAGCCAAGCTGTCAAGAGGCACATGGGGCTTGATGAGTCTGTGCTTCCCCACTGAGGCAGTTCTTTTTTCCCAACTCAACTCCAAGCTTCAGGTTGAAGCCCTAGGAAAGAAAAATGGATCTGAGCGATCCACAGGCAGATGACAACAGAATTTAAAAGACACAGCACATGTGAGCATGATTAATTCCTGTCTATTAAGCCAGGCCTCCCATTTCATGAATAAAGGTCATGCTAGTATCCATGGCATAAATGAGGTCCAGGGAATTTGAAGGCCACCAATGGCAGAGAGAAAGGCCGTGTGTGAGGAAGTGTGGATATTCCCACTCCCAGACCCCCTATTAGCATGGGTGAAAGCCGCATTAACATCCATGGGCGGCACCCTGTCAAGGTCACCGGGACTTGGGGATATAAGGACAGAAGAAGGAAAGAGGATAATTTTTCCTTCTCTCTCTCACATACCCAGGGTATTTACTAGGAAGAGAAAGGAAACAGATGCCTGGCTCCCCTCTTTCTAGATGAGTAGCCATTCATCTTCAGTCTGTCCCCATTTCAAATGCATCCTGAAACCCTTGGGATCCTTTGAAAAAAAAAAAAAAAAGCCTTGTTTTTTTTCCTTTTTCCTCCTCTGTTTACTCTTCACAAATGGGTAATTGTGTCTTCGCACTAGAGGACACTCGCCTCAGATGCACCCTCCAAACTGAGAAAAGTTAATGTCCCAAACCTAAACTGGCTGGTTTAGAACTGAGCTTGGGGGAAGGGAACCCAGAAGCCTGACATGCCAGCAAAAGGGTAAAAGCGTTTTTTTGCCAGTTGGACTTTTGACCTCTCTTTCCCTCTGCAAACTGGTAAAAGGAATGATAAGGATCACTGTTTACATTCTCTATAAAGTTTTGATTAATGAAAAAGAATTTATGAAGTTGGTCTTAAGCTGTAGCCAACCTGGTGTCTTAATTGAGGCTTGTTGGTTTCAGCTGTGAGGTGACTTTTGGTAAAGTTCAAGAGCCAGAAATATTGGCCACTATACTGTGGCCAAAATTGGGTAATAAGGCATTTAAAGGATTTTCTTAAAGAGCACTCAGCTTAATTAAAAGTGGACATCTAAGTTATAGATACACTTAAAAGGCCTTTATGTTTTTCTCTTCTTGGATCTTGTTTTGCTGGAAAAAGTTTTTTTCTCAGTCAACTGAATTACTCTTCTCCACCTTGTCTTGCCACTCTTAATGCATGCATGAGATGCCCTAAGATAACTTGTGATGCCCTGGGACTCTTTGGGAAAAACAGAAAATGTAGCAAGGATTCCATTTTGGCAGAAACCTCTGTTTTCCTCATGGAACCCCAGGAATTGAAGGTGGATAAATACCTCTCAAAATCTCTTTTTGTCTTCCTGCTATACCTGTTTATCAGGCCCCAGAAACAGCATGTTTTCCTAGCCCTGTTCTTAAAGGGCCCCATCCAAAGGACAATAATCCAATTAGAACATTGGCAAATGAAAAATCTTATAACTACTAGATCTTCTCCTGTTTGTCTGTGTAGCTATATATGTGTTGTGTGTGATGTCTATAAAAAAAGAGCTCTAATTAATTGGCTCAAAGGAAAATAAGTGCTTAGATCAAATATTTTTTGAAGGAAAGATAAAAGCTGTAATACCTTTTAGTTCATGTGACTTTAATCTTTGACAAATAAAAACTGTCTTAAAGATTATGGGTAAAATGCAAATGTCATTAAAATATAAATAGGTGGTCTAAATTATGCAAGTAAGATCCTAGATTTGCTAAATGTTTTAAGGTTGTAAACTGCTTCTTTGGCCTTTGAAAACAGTTCAACTTGTGAGCTTTACAACTTGGTAAGGCCTGGGGACATATGGAATTAACCACACCCTTAACTATGCTAGAAGGAATCAAACTTTATTGGCACCTGGTGCATAATTAAAACAACTTACCAGGTTTTACATTAAAACTAAAAATTGCTAAGAGTTGCCATTATAACATGTAATTGAGACCACTGAAAATGGATTTCCATGCGAGGTGTGTAAGAACAGTAAAATTTGTTTTTATTAAAAGATTATAAGAAGGCATGGAAAGGTAAAATTTTTGCCTAGGGTTAAAGGATTGTTTCAAATTACATAAGATAAAGCTAAATGTTTAAACAAGTTATGCAAGGTTTCTAAAAATTAATCTTGCAAAAGAAATTCTGTGTGTGAACATTGACTAAATTCCAAAGTGTATTATATGGTTTTTCTATAAGTTGAGCATTGAAATAAAAGCACAACAAGGTTATCTTAAGTCACAAATCTGCTCTTTAGCAGGATTTGTAAAGTGTTATAAAAGGTGTATAAGAATCTTACCTCATGGTCAAACTGGTTAGGATTGGATAGAATTGTAAGATTTCATTTAAAAACTTTGGGTTGACATGAATAGCAAACTAATATAAGGGTAAAATTTGGCTTTCTCTCCCTTTTACAAGATTTTCATGTAATAGTAAAGGATAATGAAAGATTTCTGTTTGCCTTGCAGATAGACTGCGAAGTGAAAGAAAGAGAAGACAGGAGACAAATTGTTTGGAAAGCTAAGTCTTCCCTTTAAATGAGTAAAAGCTTTTGCCTGGTTTAAAAATTGTTGAGTTATTCATTTTGGCAAAATAAATAACTTACGGTAATCTGAATTCTATTTCATACCATCAAGTGCATACCATCAAATGTTTTAAACCTCAAACATATTTAACAGGCTTCCCAAAATCAAATTTCAGCTTCAAACTTGTTTTTCCTGTCTGCTAGCTTTTGGATGCTACTGAGGGCCCCTGGAGCATCCAGATGAGAGGTAAACAGAATTACCTGACATGTTTAGGTACATGGGATTGCCAAAATGATGTTTAATCTTATTCAAGTTATATTTTAGTGAATAATATTAAGTTCCAAAATTGTCTGTGATTTCTAAAATTCTAATGTCTAATTTTGATATTAATCACAATGAAATGTGTTATGTTAAATTATTGTAAACCACAGAGATAACCAAATTTTTTTGTCAATCGTGTTTTAGACTGTAGTTACCCTGAGCATTTTGTTATTCACAATTGGTGTCTTGTTTTGACCATCTTCAAAAGATGGTTTATAAGCAGCTATAGAACTTTGTCAGGTGCTCTCAAATGCAGTTAGCTGATAACTTTGTAGACTGTGACATTGGAATAAAGAAAAAATGTACCAGACTCATGAAAAGCTGAAATGTTCATGAATATCAAGCAGAACAAGAGTTAACTGAATGGACTGAACTAATAGAAAACTGAAGTAATCTTTTTTTAACTTTTGCTTAAAACATTGCTGGTCTTTGTTTTGTTTTTTTCAGAGTCAAGGAAACTTTCATTTTGAGATATTTATAGTCTTTGATAATTGAGTAAGGTAGACTCCTGTGAACAAAATTTGGAGCATGTTTGTCTCTCTCTCCCTGTTTCCTCTAGAATTTAGAAACTGTCTGTGAGTATTCTTAACTTATGGCAATATGGTTATTTGCATCAGTGCAATAAGAATCCATTTTCTTTTGCAACAGGATGCAATTGGAGAAACTGGTTGTATTAGTTCATTTTCATAGTGCTGATAAAGACATACCCAAATTTATATTTAATTTATAAATAAAGAGGTTTCATGGATTCACAGTTCCATGTGGCTGGAGAGGCCTCACAATCATGGTGGAAGGTGAAAGGGACATCTTATATGGTAGCAGGCAAGAGAATGAGAACCAAGTGAAAGGGGGTTCCCCTTATAAAACCATCAGATCTCATGAGACTTATTCACTACCATGAGAACAGTATGGGGGAAACTGCCTCCATGATTCAATTATCTCCCACTGAGTCTCTCCCATAACACTTGGGAATTATAGGATCTACAATTTGAAATGAGATTTGGGTGAGGACACAGCCAAGCCATATCACCAGTTGTTTTACCAAGGCTTTGACTGAAAGGGTATGCTTTACTCCAAAGAATCAAGCTCGACTTGCAGAGCCAATAAAAGCCCCTTAGGAAAACCGACCTCATACCTTGTCTACACAGTCCCTGTACAGGGTCCCTAACCTGTGGTGAGTAAATAATGTCACTTTCTAACAGGCCCAGGAACCTCATATTCTTGGGACCTCAAGAAGAGAGGAATTCACCCAACTCATAGGTGTTTGAGGACACAAACCCATGGCTGGGCTCAGCTTTAAAAAGTCCTATGTGAGATTCCTTGTGGGACAAAGTTCCATCAAAGCCAATTTAAGAAGCCTATGTAAAAATAATTATCCTTACTGCACTTTATGCAAATAATCAGGCCAAGTATAAGACCAAGTTTATTTTGCAAACAACTTAGTCCTATCACGATTTGTTTTCAACAAAAATGAGGACTGGAGAAAGAAATTATGTTTCAAAACTTATCATACATTTGTCATTAAATTCTAGATTCATCAGTTGTTTTTAAGTTTTTCACCTACATTTTAAAGTAACCCTGCTTATTCCTGTGAACCAACTAGTGATCTCCAGCTGCCACTCAGAAGAAACAAAAAAGGATGGGTAATATAAAAATCTAGATCAAATTCTAGTTCTGGGAAATTATCCTGCAAATCCTGCTAGGTGACAGGAGTAAATAGGGTGCCCGTAACCTGGAGATTTCTTTTTTGGGAAAATAAGACCAAGGGTGCCAACCAAAGCCAAGCCCCATGCACCCAAACCTTAGCATCCATAACTATAGCCACTAGTTATCTGGATGTGCTGGCAGCCTCAGGATTTTTGAGCTGTCCATAACCCCATCTTTGTTTCATTTGATACATATCTTCTAATAACCCAGTTTGTCTCTTCTTACCTTCAGGCCATCAAACTCCAAATGATCATGCAACAGGAGCCTCAAACCATGGCCCCCTTTTACTGAGGACCCTTAGATAGGCCTCTGAGGGATATCTGGCTGCTGTTTGCTCAGAATAGTGCCTCCTATCAGTAGAAAGCAGTTAAGATTAGTCATTGTCCTTATCCTTATTCTAACAGCAGTTAGATGTACTTCGTTAAAGGGGGGAATGATAGAGGCAGGAGACAGCCAAATGTTGCCCAGGTCATTGTGCACCAGGGGCTTGCCTAAACATCCCCACAGTGAAAAATTCTGTCCCTTAACACATATGCAATAAGGGAAATAGATCAATAAATCAATGCAGACTGGCTCAGACTAATGGTCCACATGGACACTGGAAGGACAGGTTGGAACCACTAGGAATTTGCACCTGATGCAGGGGAGGGGCCTCTTCAGTTTGTATGTGGTGGCCTGGTATTCAATTTTTGTAAAGTGGAAAACCTGAGTACAAGAACCCTTTTTTTGTTGAGAGCTTTCCTTTTGCTTAATAAATTTCACCCACCTCACCTTTCAATGTGCCCATGTGCCTATTTTTTTTTTTTTTTTTTTTTTTTTTTGGTGTTGAGACTCAAACCTGGATTTAGCTGAACTAAGAAGCAAAAAATCCTGCATCAGTTGTTGAGGGGATTGTATAATAGCTACTCTTACTATTCATAACAAAATAAATTCGTACAAACTTTCCAAAAATAATGTATTTCTATAGTTTTATTCATTTACTTCTAGGACTGTATATGTATAAAAATGTTTATTATAGGATTATTTATAATGTTTATAAGAGCAAAATATTGGAAACAATCTAAAAGTCCAGTAATATGGAGAGGTTGTAATAAATTATGACATAGCAATGTGATAGAATATTGAATAACATATAAAAGTCATGACTTAGTAGAATAAAGCAATGCGAACTTCTAATGATATATTAAATTTTAGAAGTCAGATACCAAATTGTTTTTACAGTAAGATACAGCTTAAAAAATAACTCCTCAATAATTGTGTTTGTATATATGTATTAAATTTACATAGAAAAAATGATAAAAGGAACTATCCTAAAACATTAACAAGGGTAATCTCTGGGTGATTAGATCTTGGCTAATTTTATTACAGTTTGCTAAATGTTTCTGCAATTTCTCTTTTTCTACAAAAGTATGTACAATTTTATGATCAGAAAAAAATAAATTCACTAAGTCTTAAAAGTTTATGAATAATTCCAATGTGCAAAGGGCTTTGAAAAATGTGGTGAGGGATACAAATATGTCTCCAATTGTCTCAAAAGTCCACTGGCTCAGGGAAAGTGTAAGGCTAGTTGAGAACACGCAGAGTGCCAAGTTAAACCTACCAGATGCCACCATGGAAACCCTAGTAAGAGGGAAAGCCCTCATCTGGTTGAGGAGGATGAAGCAGGGGTAGAAAGACCCTGCTTTGTAGAAATTTAAGCGTGTAGCATTTATAAGTGGAGAAAACATGCTTTAATCCATTCTGTGTTGTGGACATCTAGGCCTGTGTGTGTGCACACATGCACGTAGGTGGGCTTCTATTTAAACAGACAATGAGGTTTCCTGGAAAAAGTAAATAATTATACTAAAGCATTCCATTTCCATTATTTATGGGCCTCATTTCATACATCTAGATTGCTTAATTTTAAATTAATCCTTCATTCAGAAGTCTGTATTTTTTTTAAATTGATAACCTAACAAACTTTTCTTTTCCTTGAAAAAAACTGAACGTCCTTCCTTAACATATGAGAACGATACTTAAAGTTACAAATATTATATGCAATATTTCTTCGTGTTAACTATGAAAATTGTATATTAATTAAATGAGCTACCCAGTTCTTGGTGACTTGAAGAAATTTAACATATTTTTACAATTTATACTATAGGGAAAAACAACTCCGAGGTGACAAATACCCTTAGGTTGAAAATAGAATCTCCCTCTTGTAACTGATTAAGGTGGAGCCATGTTTGTTTTTATGAATGCAGTGGAATAATAAATACATGGAAGACAGTCCCATAGTAATGCTTGTTACACAAACAAATGATAATATACATCAGTATATTGACTATCTACTGCAGGTTGGTTCACAGCAATTTCCAACCAATGAACATTTATCTATCTGCTACATTGAGCAACATGTGCTAGACTCTGGGGCTGGGGAAAATTTTGGGGTTAGGTGTTTTTGGTATAGGCATGGGGAAGGTCAGTTTCTGAGAAGGGGACTGATGTACCAATGATTTCTTAAAGGACATGCTCCCAGGGCAGAAGGTGGGAAGCAGTGCAAATTTCAGGCAAAGTCTCAGAGAGGAATAGATTCAGCCTAATCCTCAGAGGAGCCCTGGAATGTAAAGGATTATCCCAATCTGAGGCAAGGGTTCCTGTCAGTCAGCCACTGGCTAAAACCACCCCCCAGGGAAGGTAAACTCCCTGACACTCCTTGAATTCTGTCTTTGGGATCCAGCTGCTACAGTAGCTTGAGTCTATAGGAAGAAGAGGATTTGCAGGGACCATTGAAGAAAAAAGGACACTGACCCAGGACTCCAAGTGACATTCCAGCAGTGTCTGCTCCAGAAAGTATAGAGAAGAGGAAAGAGACGAGCTCAGACACAGCCTTCACCCTCCGGTTGATTACAGCTAATGGTGGGAGTGAGAGAAAGAGAAATAACTAAGGCTGAAGGGTGGTGAGATGAACCCAGCTTGGGCAAAAGACTAAGGCTGTGCTCTTACCCCTGAGTTACTGAGCTTCTCCCTGAAATGTTCTTCCTCTTCTGCCCATCAAGGACCACAGGATATTTACAGGTCAGTTTTGACCACCAAGAAGATACCTGGATGTGTAAGTACTTAATAGTCTGTAAAATTCTAGATAGCAAGTCATATTAATTATGATACTAGATGGAATAGGAGTCATGTGCTCACTGAAAGCACATGCTATATGCTGTGAGAACCCAGAGGGTGGACAGTGGGAGCAGAATTCGCGTTGTTGTTGTTGTTGTTGTTATTGTTGTTGTTGTTGTTTTGAGACAGGCTCTCACTCTGTCACCGAGACTGGAGTGCAGTGGTGCAATCACAGTTCACTACAGACTCGACATCCTAGGCTCAAGCGATACTCTCACCTCAGCCTCCCAAGTAGCTGGGACCACAGGTGCATGCTACTAAACCTGGCTGATTTTTGTACTTTCGTAGAGATGGAGTCCTGCTAGGTTGCCCAGGCTGGTCTTGAACTCCTGGGCTCAAGAGATTCACCTGCCTCAGCCTCCCAAAGTGTTAGGATTACAGGCATGAATCACTACTCCCAGCCTGGAGTTGGTTCTTAAAGGATGAATAACATGTTGAGAGCAAATCAAAGAGAAAAGAAGGAATTCCAAGTGATATGGTTTGGCTCTGTGTCCCCACCCAAATCTCATCTTGAATTGCAATCCCCACATGTCAAGGGAGGGACCTGTAATCCCCACATGTTCAGGTAGGGAAGTGATTGGATCATGGGGAGGTTTCCCCCATGCTATTCTCATGATAGTGAGTGAGTTCTCATATCTGATAGTTTTATAAGACAGTTTCCCCTGCTCTTACTGGCTCTCTCTCACCTGCCACCAAGTAAGACGTGCCTGCTTCTCTCTCTGCCATGATTATAAGTTTCCTGAGGCCTCCCCAGCCATGCAGAACTGTGAGTCAGTTAAACCTCTTTTCTTTATAAATTGCCCAGTCTTGGGTATTTTTTTATAGCAGTGTGAGAACAGACTAATACACCAAGTGAAGAGAACATTATCAGAAAGACCCAGAGATATGAGGGCCCAGGGCCCTGACTTTCCTTCAGTGCTCTCTTCTGCTTGGTGGGTCCTCTGTGGACACGAGAATCCTCCTGCCTGTCCCTTTTTGCTTCCTGTTTCTTTTCAAACTTGCTGAACTGGGTACCACCTCAGGGCCTCTGCTCTTGCTCTTACCTCTGTCTTGAACACTCTTCTCCCTGGTCTTGGCACAGCTCTTTCCCTTATTTCTTTCAGGTCTTTCCTCAAAATTCACTCCCCTGAGGGCTCTGCCCAACAATGTAGCAAATGCCTGAGCAAAATTGAATCTAAAATGCAGCCACTGAGGACTGGATTAGACCTGCAATTGGAAACCTCTGGGGGAAGACAATAACTACTATCTCAGTTTAAAGTCTACTCACATTTCCCCTCTGGCTAAGAGCTGAGGATTTAGACCAGTTTCCAGGAAATTTAGGAATTTGAGTTTCTCATGATAGCTTCCCTTTGTCTTTGTTTAGAGCAAAATCGTGTTCTTTGTGATTTTTTATATAAAATAATCTAAACTTAGTAAAGGCATTACTATTAAGCTTATTTTAAAATATTTGTACTTTTAAAAATAAAATGACACCATTCAAAGGAAACTATATTTAGTGTAGCCAGGTATATTTTCAAATAAAATTTTAAATATAGTAGATAGATAACACATACACTATTAATTAAGTTTTATGATGATTTTATGATCCCAAATGACAAGTATTACAGAAATGTAAAGAATATTATACATAAAATTTTTCAATTACAAAGCTATTTAATTATGGTAATAACTGACACTTGAATATTTGAATGATGAACATCTGAATAGCACCTTACAACGGGCTTTTCTTATTATTTAATCCCTGGTACAACCCTGTAGGTAGTTATTAACATAAGGATACTGAAGTTTAGAGCTCTCAGGTAAAATGTCAAGGGTTGTACAGCTAGTATGTGCCTAAATCAGAACATAAACCCAATCATTCAACTCCCCACCTGTACTTCTTAAGTCAGGTTATACTGTCTCATATAGAAATTACTTTTAAATACATATTATACACATATATATGAATATATATATATTTATTTTTCTAGCAGGCTTATAGTTTATAACCTCAAACATATATAACCTCCGGCTTATAGAGTTCATAACCTCACACATAGAAGGCAAAGACCATAGCAAAATGTGGGACACAGTAATTCTCATTGTCTCATACTCTGTTGGAAAGGGAATGCTTTATTTGGTAGCATCCTTTATCATTGACCTTCTGACTCAACATTCTTCATTAGACCAGTCATGGACTTCAGACACAGGCCTTCTCAGCTTTTATCGTGCACTAGTGGGGTATGCCTCATATCATAGAACTACTTGAGATTGTCATTTGTTTGCTCATTGACGATTTGCCTAGAATTTCCAAGAACTGGCATGGGTTTCACCCCTAGTGATCCACTAGCAAAAATTTTGCTTCCTGTTCCTGTGACATTGGGTTCTGCTGGCCTAGAGGTCTTAGTTCCAGAGGGAAGAACACTGCCACCAGGAGACACAACAAGGATTCCATTAAACTGGAGGTTAAGATTGCCACCTGTACTCTTTGGGCTCCTCCTACCTTTAAGTCAACAGGCTAAGAAGGGAGTTACAGTGTCGGCTGGGGTGACTGACCTAGACTATCAAAATGAAATCAGTCTACTACTCCATAATGGAGGTAAGGAAGAGTATGCATGGAATACAGGAGATCCATTAGGGCATCTCTTAGTATTACCATGCCCTGTGATTAGGTCAATGGGAAACTACAACAGCCCAATCCAGGCAGGACTACAAATAGTCCAGACCCCTCAGGAATGAAGGTTTGGGTCACTCTACCAAGAGAAAATCACGGCCTGCCAAGGTGCTTGTTGAAGGCAAAGGAAATACAGAATGGGTAGTAGAAGAAGGTAGCCATCAATATCAGCTAAAACCACGTGACCAGCTGCAGAAATGAGGACTGTAACTATCAGGAGTATTTCCTCCTCCTTTTGTTAAAAACATGCTTGTGCAGGTATACACTTGTACTAAGAAAATATCTTCATTTTATTTCCTTTTCCTTTATCATGTGACATAAGATTAATTGACTTCATATCAGCATTTAAGTATTGTCAACTTTATGTAATAGTATTTGGGTTGGAGATTGGTGTGCTTCCAGTTGTACAAAGGATAGTTGTATTAGGTGGAATTATGACCTTATTACTGTCTTTAGTTGAAAATTATCTATGATCTCAGGAGATGTGTATGGGTTCAGGTTGACAAAGGGTGGACTTGTCATGGTTAATACTGAGTGTCAACTTGATTGGATTGAAGGATGCAAAGTATAGATCCTGGGTGTCTCTGTGAGGGTGCAGCCAAAGGAGATTAACATTTGAATCAGTGGGCTGGGAAAGGCAGACTCACCCTTAATTTGGTGGGCACAATCTAATCAGCTGCCGGCAAATATGAAGCAGGCAGAAAAATGTGAAAAGGCTAGAATGGCCTACCCTCCCAGCCTACATCTTTCTCCCGTGCTGGATGCTTACTGCACTCAAACATCGGACTCTAAGTTCTTCAGCTTTGAGACTCGGACTGGCTCTCCTTGCTCCTCAAGCTTGCAGACAGCCTATTGTGTGACCTTGTGATCATGTAAGTTAATACTTAATAATATATATCCTATTGCCTTTTATATATGTGCATGTGTGTTTATATATATATATATATATGAATGTGTGTATGTGTGCGTGTATATATATATATATATCCTATTACTTCTGTCCCTCTAGGGAACCCTGACTAATACAGTGTGTCATGACTTGTTATCACACACTATGGCTCTAACTCTGCCAAGTATTTGCATCTTGAGTCTAGATAAAAGTTAACATCTCCCTCTTTTCCACCTTCAAATGCATACAAATCTCAAGGCAGGGGAGGGGATGGGGAGCAAATTCAAGTAATTATTAGTTATTGATTACTTCCTCTATGTCAGTATATATTCACTGGTTCTTTTTTCTACATTATCTCATTTTAATTCTCAAATAACCCAATGTGTTATCTATTTTACAGATAAAGAAATTGGTAACAATATTCTGAACCTAGGCCTATCCAATGCTAATATTAATTATCTTTTCACTAGAGCACACATGGACTTTAAGTTTAGAGTTTAAAGGTTGCTCATTTGTCTCTTTCTCCATTCCTTAGTAAATATTAAGTACCAGTGGTAATATCAGACCTGCAAAACTTAGTTTAACATAATTAAATATATGAACATATAAAAAAATGTGTCAACCAAAAGGGGAAGTGTCTGCAACGTAAGCCTGGAAAAGAAGAGTGCTTTCTGTATATCTGAGTTCAATCCAGGGAAAGAGTTGCTTGGCCAAAAACAAACATCTGGCATCATTCCAACCTCACTGGCAATAATGTTCCCATGTTGGAGATGAATGCGCCAATCCAACTTAACCTTGTGCTATGAAACGTTTGAATTCTGACTTCTTGTTCACGTAGCAAACATTTGATTACAATTTAGCTTTTAAGTTGATGTGTTTACACAAACAGAATGTGCTGGTCATGCCAATGCAAGGATTTTAACACCCATGATAGGTATATTTCAAGTCGTGTGAGCTCTGTTAATATAGGTCTTATCTTTAAAGGTAGAATGCCTCTCAAGTTGTTGACAAAAATTAGATTTCTAAGCCTTGTGGGATGAAGGTGAGAACTAGCGTAGGGTTGAACTGAGCAAGATTGTCTCTTCAAATACAGTCTTCTGGCAAACCTCAAGACCTATTATGATGGTTAATTGTATGTGTCCATTTGGTTAGGCTGTGATGCCCAGATACTTGGTCTAACAACCGTCAGTGTGGCTGGCTTAGATCTCTGGCCTCTTAGTCTGGAGCTCCTGTAATAATTTTCTCTCTTAATCAATTATCTCCAGCCATATTTTTGTTGTTCCTCAGTAAACTGTTTGTTAATATTGACATTTTCACGTAGTAGGGTTTGCTAGCTAATCTGCTAATTGGATTGGATGAAAACTTGAAGTGTTCTTCAAGTTTTATAGTAGTATTTTATAAAGGATTCAAGTAGGGAAGGTTTTTCTCTGACCTCTATTGAGATATCTATAGTTAGTCATACCTCCATAATTAGATTGCTATGTTTTAAAAATTTCTACTTAAAAAAATCAAATGTAGCTTTGTCTTCCTGAATATTTACTTCTTTGTTTATAAGAGTTACCACACTCCTGTGGAGTCCAGACTTATTGATTTTTGAGCATGACTTATGAGTCAAAACTAGATTTTAAAATAATTTGTCAGTAATAATTTGAAATAATTTAATTGGTTAGTAATACGTTTCTTTGAAAGGAAAGAGGAAAGAAAAATAGTGACTCTTGCCTAGAACCAGGATCTCACACTTATTTGCCAAGTCCACATCCTAATCCCAATTGTTCATTTCAAAAACGAAAACATCGTGTAAGTCAACCAAGCCCACTGTGGTCTGGGAGTCACTCAGCTTTATTGACATTCAATGGCTATGAACAAGTGACCCTGGACTCTTTCTCTCTACTCTCATAAAATCTTTATCTACCAGCAATAGTGCGTTTAGTTTGAAGTCTGGTAATATGTATGAGGAATTTGAGCCTTTGTTAATTTATTCATTCACTCATCAGACCTTTAGTAATTACGCCAGGCAGTCTATGTGAGTTGGATAAAAGCTAACCTCATAGAGCTACAATTTTTCAGATACTAGTGATAGAATTCTGTCTGAGAGATATAAAGAACTGAAGTTAAAATGTATACCTGTCAATGACTGACAGACATTTTCACGTGGATAGAGATTAAATTTCTAAAGAAGCAGAGGAAATGCAGGATAGGCTTATCACTGACTACTCCTTAATTGTTTGAGACTATATGTCTTTGTTTTAGAAAAATATAGTCTCCTGCCTATGGTCAGTAAGGTCTGACCTAAACTTAATTCTCGATGGAAAATAGTCCCTTCCTTGCAAACTACCACCCTGTGCTCAGTGAACTTTTATGAGTAACTAATCATGTGTCTAATTATTTGGGTATAACATTTATTATGTATTGCTACATAGAAAGCATCATATGGACTGTATTACCTCCTCAAGAGAGCTCACAATCAAAATCCCATTTGAATATACAGCCTAGGCCCCACTTGTATAGAAGAAAATAAAAAATTGACTAAATGCATTCCTAGAAGCCATCTCTGAGATATCATCTGACACAAGACAGTTCTTACAACCAAAGAATTCCCTAGTCGTTTTCCTAGATTTAGCGGGGGCTGCTCCTATAGTTCACTTGTGTTTACAGGAGAGTTAACCTGAATTCACAATTTTCTCCATGTCTTCTATAGACAGAGCACCAGGGCAAACTCGAGAGCTTTAGAGGTCAAGGCTTGCCAATACAATAGGGGCTCATTAGAGCTGTATGAAAAATGTTGGCTTGCACAAGAATCTTCACTCAGGTCTAATTCTAATCTATATGTTTAATAGCTGGTGAATCCAGACTGCTGGAGCCTCTTTTTCCCAACACAGGAAAAATCAGCTTCTTGCCATACACATGTAAGTTGTTGGCAGTATTACAAGGAGAACATAGACAGGCTCTTTTACCAAGGAAATTAGAAGAGCTTCAGTCAAAAAAATCTCCCTGGAGATGTTGCCATAAGTGACTCTTCCTACCCCTTAGGATAGAGACAGCTGGGTACAGACCTCCTTCCCTTAGATGATCCCAGCTGAGTTTTAGGGAGATGTGGTAATTAGTGGGGTGGAGCAGGAAGTCCCATTTCAAATATGAATAAGCCATATTAAAACAACAAGTTATTTGGAAAATAAATATTAATACAAATTATGCATCTCTTCCAAAAAAAAAATCCTTAGGGCAGTGCTTAGTAAAATAACTTTATATTTCAAAGTCCAATAGTGAAGTTATTGAAATTATTTAATGTATACTGAACCAGCAATAGTATTTTCAGTGCTGTATAGGTAAAAGAGCGGCATCTTTATCGATCTTCTATTTAACCATCAATTTCTGTATTAACTGCTATAAGAAGTCTCACTCCCACCCAACTTTATTGTGTCTTGGTGTTAAAAGGGGAATGAAATACATGTACACACACCACTTCAGGTCATGTATTTCCATTTTATTTGGAATGCAATGGATAAATACCAAGGGAGCATATTTCTCTGTTTTTCACAGGTGTGCTATATTGTACCTAAGAGCATTATTCTGAGTATAAATGGACAGGATTTTCCCCCACACCTTCCAAAGTCTTTTAATTATATCTCTAAAATTGTATCCTCATGGATGAAAAGAAAGTTTGTTATCTTTTACATTATTTTTCTGAAAATAATTTAACCATGGAATTTCTGATGAGACCATCACAACATTTTTGCTTATGACTGTGCCAGGTAACATAAAAAAAATAGTGACACAATGCAAGCTTTCAATCCAATAAAATTACAAAACTCCTCTGAAAGCTTTAAGAGATAACCTTTTTCCATATTAGTAAGATATTCTTTCAAGATAAGGAAGTTAACCGAAAAGGAAGAGAATTTTAACTCAGTAGTATTTATCTCACTGGTACAAATCTTAGTGACAAGGAGTCTCAGTAAATCTTAAAGTATAAGTCAACAAAACGGTGATTCAAATGAAGCCAGGGTGCAGGGTTTTAGCACTGCAGGCTATAAATTGTTGTCACTGGGACAATAGGGAAGGTCTCTGGGGCGGGACAGTCTTACTATGTCCTTGGAGATCACTAGAATGTTAACAAGATCTCTATTGTCCTGTTTTCAATGAATGTTCTGGTCTTTTGTGTGTTGGGACCAGAAATCCCATGACATTTCTTGAAGGTTGCTGGGGAGGGGAAGGAGGGGATGTTGTATGTGTGTATGTTTGTGTTTGCGTTCATTCACTGCTGACTTTATTTA
The DNA here is from genome assembly GCF_000001405.40 of Homo sapiens. Taxonomy (NCBI): domain Eukaryota; kingdom Metazoa; phylum Chordata; class Mammalia; order Primates; family Hominidae; genus Homo; species Homo sapiens. Next base: position 155,599,572 of record NC_000006.12, on the reverse strand, counting down.
GACAGGTGACTGCAATGATCTCTAGAGGCTATAGGAACGTGTTGGAATTTAGGAGAGCCACCCCTCAAAGAATAAATCTTCCTGTATGTAAATTTAAAAAGAAATTAACTTCAAACATCAAAAAAAAATTTTGAAATTTGAATACAAATTGTCACCCCTTTTCCAAGTACTGTTCCCAAGTCAGTTTGCAATAGCTTTTAGACACTGGACTTCTCTCATCAGTGTCTGTTTAATGAGCTCCTGTTAGGTGATGACACTGCTTCCTCCTCTCTTTCTTTGCCTCCTCCCTTCATATAACTACTTTTGCATTGTATTTTTCCTTAAAATATCTTCCTAACCCATTTCCCACTGTACATTTTGACGTTTGCCTTCTCATTCATTCAGTCTTATTTGTAGTACATGGATAGGTCCCAAATGCTCCTGTGGAGGAAAAACGTCTGCTTCACAAACATTACAGCAACATTTGCTAGAGGTAGAAAAATTAACATTAAGTAAATATCTAGATAGGGGGAAACTGTAGTTTTTTTGAAATGTTGCTTTATGTTTAATGTTTGCATTTGAATCTTCACAAGATTAGCAATGAATTCATTCCAGTCCTGTATTTTAGTCTATGTATTGCCTGATATAGATCAAGTCAGGGGTTAGAATGAGACATCAAACGGTTGATATATGATACTTTGAAAAACACTAGAACTTTCTCTACTGATTATGGACTTTGTAGTATAACATGAATTGGGAATGATGTGAGCTTATATAAATAGGAAGGCTGGATTTTTGGCCCTCTGGGAATTGGTAATCAAAAAGGAAATGCAGGGATTAAAAAAAAGATTTTAAAAAAGGGGAATAGTAGGTAAACTGGCAAATATTTTCTGTAAATATTCATAAAATGACTTATAATGAAATATTAAAACTTGTTTATGAGTTTTTTTAAAGTAAGACTGATATGAACGTGTATGAGAAAGAGCGAGTGTGTGTGTCTGTGTGTGTGCATTCATGAGTGAGTCAGCTTAGATTGTTGGTTATCTGAATTTATTTTATTTCATGGCCGATTGTACTGCAGTTACTTGAACACACTTTGAGTTTCATAATTTTGTAGGTGTGCTCTAGTGGAATAACCTTGCATCAAAGGGAATATCAATAAAGCCTGAATCAATGGAGTAAAATATAGAGATTTTACTGTAAATTGAGAAGAAAGGAACATGAAGTCAAATTTGTAAAGTTTCTTTGAACTTCCTATGCATCTGAGAAGCAATGAAATATGTTATATATAAAATGTCAAAACTCTGTCCCCTCTTCCTAAAATCCTCCCACTAAGCCACATTATGTTTTGTAGGAGCTCAGCTGAGATTTGAAGGCCAAGCCATATATATGCTATATACATTAAAATCAATCTCAATCTATCTTAGAAAATTAGAGCCATCACTATTGTATTATAAATGTCCAGTGTAACTCTCTTCTCATGGTTTGGCCAGTGTGTTCCTCAATTTAGCTATTGCTATTGCTCCATACATGCAAACCAGCAAGCTTCAGATAGAGATGACAAATACCAGCTGCCCTCTGTATATGTGTGAGTTATATTAGCTCTCCAATTAAGGGCTGGTAATCTGGAGTCAAATATATGCTGACCAACGTGTCTCTTCATCCCTCCCCTGAATTAGACACTGCCATAGCCTTGCTACCACCTGACTTTAAAAGATTCCGTCTAGTGAAATTCTGCCTTTCCTGCTCTATTGGCATGCTTTGTTCTCCTCTTTTCCTCAGTTGATAGTTAGACATCATAATTTCCTAACAGATAACATTTATATACAACAACAATAACACCAAAACATTAAGGAGTAAATGAAGCAAAAGACCTTCATGATGAAAGTTGTGAGACTTTCTAGAAAGTCCACATAGGAAATATAAGTTAAAAGAAAAAAATGGGAAGAATAAATATTATAAAAGCTATCAATTCTCCCAAGATTAGTCTATAAATTAAATTAATCTCAATCAAAACCCTAAGAAGGATATCATGAAAATTGAAAAACTGATTTTAAAATTCATGTAATAGAATAAAAGCTAAAGAATATCCAGCACAATTTTCAAGAAGAACAAAAATGGACACTCTATTTTGTATCAAAACCTTCTATAAAATTATAGTAATTAAAACAAGGAGAAATTAGTATAGAAATAGATAAAACTTTCCACAGGTACAGAAAACACATCATGGAAACATACAAATGAAATCTTAATATGTAGCAGAGATGGCAATACAAATCAGTGGAGAAAGCATGATTTATTCAATAAATGTCAAGGGGCAGTTGATCGTGCATACAGAAAAAGACAAAAGTTGATCTCTACCTCACACCATACACAGAAATTTATCCCAAAAGGATTAAGACCTAAGTATGCATTGAATTTTTATTAAATACACAGTTTACTAAGAAAGACTTTTAATAAAAAATAAAGATATAAAACATTTAGAATAACTTCATGGCATTAGGATAGGAAACAATTTCTCAAATACGACATGAAATAAAATCTAATAAAGAAAAATTCATTAAATAGGACTCCATTGAAATAAAAAGTTTGAACTTACAAAAGATGACTCAAGAAAAAGAAAGTCATTTAGGAGGAAAGATATTTGTGATCAATATACCAAGGACACCATTTGAGTATAGAAGATATAAAGAATACCTACAAATCAGTAAGAAAAATGCAAAGAACCTATAGAAAAATTAGCAAAGGATATTACCACACAATTCACACAGCAAGAAACCTGAGTGGAAATTAAAAATACATGAGCAAAATTTAAAATGGCACCATCAAATGCTGATGAAAGTGTAGTACAGTGGGAATTGCTGGTGGGAGTGTAAACCAATAAAAAATTTTGAAAAAATTTAGCACTATTGAGTGAAGTTTAATTTAGAAATATTCTATTATCAAGCAATTTTGTTTTTAAATAGTCTTTTTAGAGAATGTCTGTATAGCTGCATAAAAAAATGAAAAGATCATCATATAATATGGAAAAACAAATTTAGAAATAACCTGTCTTAGAGTAAAAGATACAGAGATTTACTCAGAAAGTTTGAGTGCTACAGAGCAGTTTAAGTGAATAAACTAGATCTGTAAACACCAACATATATCATAAATCTAAAAATATTATTATTAAGAGAAAAATGCACAAAGTGATGTTTACTATACGGCAAAATTTTGGAAATTAAAACCACAAAATAATAGTACATATTGATTTTAAATGCATAAATGTATTTAAAAAGAAATGGAATGAGACACATCTACCCTCTTAAGCAAGAGAAAAATGAAAGAAAACAGGTGAGTTCTAGCTTTACCTACTGTTTCATTTATTTTAAAAGTTAAAAATGAAATGAAGAGAATATGGTAAAACTTTGGTATCTATTGGCACTTAATCTTTTCTGTAGGAAAGATTTCATGTATTTTAAAGTTAAAAACATATATATGAAACGCCAATCCCTGGCAAATCTAAACAGGAAAAAAAGAATGAAGGCCTGAGTTAAAAAAATAATAAAACATAAAACAGTGGAAGTGAGAAAAGAAATATAACAAAAGATATGGGGGAGATTTTCTTTCAATATAAAATTCAACTTTAAAAGTTGTAAAATAATAAAATTGGATCAAGAGAAAGATAATCCTCACATTCCAGAGCACGAAAACATGTACTACATGTTCCACAGCCTCTAGAGAATGTAGCATGTAACTCCATTACCAAAACTTGCAGTTAGCCATCATACACTCACACACAAAAGTATAAAGCCAATCTCAGTAATACAGAAGCAAAATCCTAAGTAAAATATAAACAAAATATATTCAGCAATGTATTAAAATAAATTTTATATCATGGCCAGTACAATGTATACCAGGACATGAGTGTAGAGATCATTTTCCTGTTCTGCTCTGCATGGGAAAGGAACTTAATCTGAATACCTCATGTCTTTGGTTTCCTTAAGCATTGGCTTCTGGTGAGGTTTAGCCAATGGGAGGTATTACAGGAAATTGGAGGGCAGAAGTTGCAGAAAATCTGTGGTTAGTTCTCCAACCTTACAACTTCTGGTGGCATCACCAGCAGTGGCTGTCCATCCTCAGAGATCCCACCCCCTGCTGGTCTGGGTAAACTACTCTCCAGTGGCTTAGCAACCTAAGGCTTCTGCTTGTCTCTCCAGCCCCAGGGATGGTAGTGGCTCCTGCTGTCACAATCTGTGGGTTAATTTAGCATCCCCAGCCATCCCCTTTAGCCCTCCCAACACATCTGTAACTAGTTCCCTACATTTAATTCCCACTTTTGAACCACCAGGCAGGGTGTCCATCTTCCTGACCCTACCATGACTGATACGAAAAGAATGGTTCAATCAGGTCATTTTTATTAATGTAATGCATTTGCTAACTGAGTATGGGAGTAAATCATGATAACCTCACTGAAAGAGGCTGAAAATTCTTTGACAAAATCTAACACTTGCTTATGATGAAATAAAAATGAAACACACTCTCCAAAATAAAATCTAAAGAAGGGAAAAGAAGCCTAAAATAATAGATATTTTAAGATGATATCACTGCCCTGTGCAGTTGTACAAATTTACACTCTCACCAGCAATGAATGAAGAGGCCAAATCCTTAGTCTCAGCAATAGAATATACTATCAAATTTAGGTATCCAGATTAATACAAAAAACAAAACACTTTAGCTTTATTTTTAGATCCTTACTATGATGAAAACATCTTGCCATATGTTGATAAAGGCTTTTTCTCAACTGTCTGCTTCTATATATTTTGCTTTTTTATTGATTTATGAGAATTCTAAATATATGCTCTTTGTCTATTACATAAGTTGAAAATGTACTTTCCCTGTTGGTCATTTGTCTTTTGATTTTACATATGCCCTTTTTACAGCCTGCATAACATCATTATTTTTATTGAAGTTTATCAGTCTTTATAGCATCTGAATTAAGAGTTACGATTAGAAAGACATTCTAGTTTCAAGAAATTATTCCATGTTTTCTTCTAGAACTTCCATAGTTTTATTTTCCACATCTAATTCATTCGTTCATTTAAAATTTATCCTAGCAAGAAATATGAAATATGGAATCAATGTCATCTTTCCCCAGATGACCATTCAGTGGTCACAACACTATAAGTTAAACAATCTGTCTGTACCACTGATTTGCGAGGCCATTTTGTCCTAAATCCTACATTCTTATGTATTTGGTGCTTATTTCCAGACTTTTTTCTATTCTACTCTATTCCATTCTTCTATTTTACATATTAGTTGCTGAGGCATTATAATAGCTTTTATGATTTTGTACTGCTACTCAAATCTAGAATCAAATGTTACTGTGAAGAAATCTGAAGCCAGGGTGATACTTTCCTCTTGTAAGCTGGTTGTACAGAGATTTCTTTTTTATTTTTCTTTAAAGACCAATAATTTTGTTAGGCTACACCTCAGTGTTGACCACACTGATGTTCTTTCCCTCAGCATGGGATATGACTTTTAAATATATTTGTAAATATTCTTTTATTTTTGAAAATATGTTTGAATTGTATTTTTAAATATATTTCCCCTATTTTTCTTGCTTTTCTTTTTACACTGCAATTATGTATATGCTGTACCACTTTTGCTTTATACTATATTGGAAGTTTCCCTCTAATCTTTTAAAATAAATTCATAATTTTTCATCTTATTTTGATCACTATTCTTGGCTCCACCCTTTAAATCTCTGTCTTTGCTTACTAGAGTGTAGTTTTTATTTGTGCAATTTGCTATTTCTTTTCTGCATTTTTTTATTCTACTTTTTTTTCCTAAGTTCTGCCAGGGTCTTGTTTCAATTCTCCCTATTTTCTCATCATCTTTTATTTAGGTTCTTGTATTTCTGTATGGTGTGTCTTCAGTCCATTTATTAGGGTATTTTTATGGTAAATCTCAATCTTTTAATCAGAGGTAGGTTGTGCTGTCTTATCCTGCCTACTTTCCTAAGGCATCTTTGAATCAATTCTATGATAACTCCTTTTTTTGAATCTTGGCCCAGACTTATGCTACTATTTTCTTTTTTTTTTTTTTTCTTTCTCCTTTCCTTTTTTTTTTTTTTTTTTGAGATGGAGTCTTGCTCAGTCGCCCAGGCTGGAGTGCAGTGGCGCGATCTCAGCTCACTGCAAGCTCTGCCTCCCGGGTTCATGCCATTCTCCTGCCTCAGCCTCCCCAGCAGCTGAGACTACAGGCGCCCGCCACCACTCCCGGCTAATTTTTTTGTATTCTTAGTAGAGACGGGGTTTCACCGTGTTAGCCAGGATGGTCTCAATCTCCCGACCTCGTGATCCGCCCGCCTTGGCCTCCCAAAGTGCTGGGATTACAGGCATGAGCTACCGCACCCGGCAATGCTATTATTTTCTTAGATCTGCTATGTCATCATGCTCTAAACTTTCTCCCCCATGTACCTTCCACTCTATCTCCTTGTGGTTCTGAAGCTTTTGTTGAGTGGCAGTGATATTGGCTTATTGCTTTACAGTAACGCCTCCTCTCACTAATAGAAAATACACATTTCTTGATTTTTTTGCGATCTGCCACCATTGTGTCAATCACATTTTACTTTTTCTAGTATGTCAGAAAGAGAGAAATTGGTGCTTCGAGCTGCTAAGCCCATACAGAGGGTTAGTCAGGACTGTGAGGCCAGACTACATGGTTTGAATCCAAGCTCTGCTATTTATCAGCTGTGTGATCCTCAGCAAGTTACTAGTTCCCTCTCTGCCCCAGTGTTCTCCTTTGTAAAGTGATGTTAATAATAATACTATGTACCTCTTTGAGGTTTGTGGTAGATTAGCAATTGTAGATAACATCATCCACTATCGCTAGTTTAAGGAGAAATGGATTGATCAGTCACAAGTGTCAGTTCCCTACACTAGTAACACACAGCCACATGTCTGCCATGGTCTGATGGAGGCACTGGATATTTTCCTACTCTCTGACTTCGAGTTTGGTCATTTGACTTGCTTTGGTGAATAAGACAATAGTGACATGACAGAGCAGAGACTTGGGATGTGACTGTACCCATTTGGGTTTTCTCTATTGAGCTTCTACCATTTCCATGCGAATATACATCAGGTAGCCAATAGTCTTCCAGCCTGAGCCTCAGAGTGAAGCATATCCAAAGGAAACTTACAGCATGGCATTAACCTAGCCAATGGCAGACTTGCATCCTGAAGCTGACTCCTCCAGCCAGTTGAGAGGAAGAGAGAAAGTATGAGTTTTTATTATTTTAAGTCCTTACCCACAAAGATTACATGGAATGTCAGAACGTGAGATAGATAATTTAGCATACCTTTCCTATTGCTAAAATGTTATGTGTTTTATGATAAAGTTTGAAGATCTATAATCCATTAAAAGACTGTTCATGTTTCAAAAGTCAGATTCATGATAAATTCAAAGTAATTTGAAAACTATTATCAATTAGTTCTGATTTATATTTAGAGACAAAATTAGTTCACTTTTATAATTCTGGAGACTAAAAAATGAATCATAAAGATAAATCAAAGGGAATCCTCTAAAGATAAAATTTAGGAGCTGAGGATGAAACCATCTGAAATATCTCTGAGTTCTTCATTCACCTTTTATAACCACAAAAAGTGTGTGGGGGGCGGAGAGTCAGATTTCTGAAGGAATTGATAATATGAAGCAATGAATAACATTCTTAGAACTTCTCTCTGACAACTGCCTGACTTGTCATCTATTTCCTTATCTCAACCTTTTGGATATTATAAAACTATACAAAAAAGACATCCATATCCTACAATGAAAATTTAGATTTATTCAATAAATTGCCACATTTTATGGGTTGCTTGTTTAGAAAATGACAACTTTCTAGTTTAAGGAAACCAAAAAGAAGATGTCAAATCAGAAATTTTAGAATTTACAAATCTAAAGTTTCAGAACTGAAACAACACTGTTCTCTACAATGAAGTGTACCATTACATCTATAAAACATAGATGAAGTTTTATACACGCACAGTGCAAGGAAGCCCATTGACACCTACATGGGCATTGTTAATTATCAATATTGTCAGCTTGGAATAAAAAGAACAACAACTTAAAAAGGACAAAAAATGACCTGTCACTTGCAGCAACATGGATGGAACTGGAGGTTATTATGTTAAGTGAAATAAGACAGGCACAGAAAGACAAATATCACATATTCTCACTCACATGTGGGAGCTAAAAAAATTGGATCTCATGGAATTAGAGAGTAGAATGATAGATACTGAGGCTGGGAAGGGAAGAGGTGGGAATGAAGAGAAGTTGGTTAATGAGTCTAAAAATGCAGTTAGATGAAAGTTCTAATATTCAATAGTACAGTAGAGAAATTATAGTTAATAACAATTTATTGTATATTTTAAAATAGCTAGAAGAGAAGAACTGAAATGTTCTCTCTCCCCAACCAAAAAAGGTGAATGTTTGAGGCAATAAATTTCCCAATTACCCTGATTTGATCATTATGCACTGTGTATATGTATCAAAATATCACATTTACCCCAAAAATATGTACAACTATTATATATCAATAAAAACAAAAAGAACAACAATTTGACAAGGCATCAAAACAGACAAGCATGTTTAAATTTTAGAAAGTTTGTTGCAGTGTGAACATAGAATACTTAGGTGGCTGTATCTTGTTTTAAAAGAACAAAGTTATCAACCCTAGTTGGTAGACTCAACAAAGTAGTGCTGCCTTGTAGCAATTTTATTTCACGTAGCAAAAAGCTTAGACATACTTGCTGAATTAGGATCAGATTCTGCCATCACACAGCAACACCAAAATCCACTGGTATCAAATAAAAGTTTCACATTTGGAACAATGGTGGTTTGAGACAATGCAGTGAGTATAATACGCTTCCTATAAAAAGCACGCAACCTCTTATTCTCTGTCAGTACTCAGGGCTACACTAAAGGTTATGTTTGCCGCTGCTCTCTGTTGTCCTTAACCACTGACATTTTAAAAAGTCTAAACGCACTGTGCCGTGGGATTCCTTTGTAAAGGTGGCTTTATAAGTGTAAATGGTTGTTGGTACAACCTCTATTTGACTTCTGACTATCAACTCCTGTTCCAAGTGGAACACATTTTGCTGCCTTTGCAGAGTCCTTAGCAGTCCCCACATTTCCTTGGGGAGTCCATATTCCATCTGGCAAAACCATCATTGTAATTTGTCAAGGCAGGAAGAATTGTGCCCCAAAAGCACATGTGCTAAAGAAATAGTATTGTCTGCCTGGCTTCTCTAGCATAACACATTCAAAAGCCTTCAATAAATGAATGAGCAACAAGACACAGACAATGGTTTGGTGTAGTAAATATGAGCTTATGCTGTAAGCATATATTGCAGGAGGATCTGTTAGAATGGAAAATGGATGGGGCTTTTGCTATGCACAAGATGTGTTCCATGAAGTAACATTAATGCAGATTCTAGAGCCTGTCTTAACTCTGGATGGAACTCCACTGATAAAGCAAGGGTCAAGGAACTTCATTTGCATCATTAATTTGAACCTTTTCTTTGTAATAACCCCCTCAAAGGAGCAGCAAAAAAAGGTACCAGAATATGCTGCATAAACACTGCTCTGTACATATACACACAGTAGATAGAATCCAGCAAATTGACTTCTTTCCAAAGAGATATGTTGTTGATCCCTTTTTGGAGTTGAAAATACAACGAATACCTGAGGACATTATATCTGAAGATGTCCCAGCTAGCAACCCTCTGTCACTAACATCACTGTACTGTCAACTTCAATGACAGATGAGCCCAGATGTTAGTCCTGGCTCTGCCACTTACAGAAACTCTGAGCCTTAGGCAAGCTACATGTCCTTTCCAAGTCTACATCCCCTCATCTGTAAACTACTCCCTGCCTCATAGGACTGTAACACACATCAACACTTAGCACTTAGTGTGCTTGTAATAAATGTTAGTGATTGCCAGATTCATTGACACCCCTTGAAAGAATTGGAGGTCATTTATAATGAAAAGCAAATATATGATAAGAATAACAGAATACAAATTTTATCAAGCAGAAGGAATAAATAATTATACTAGAAAACATAGCTTTTGGCAGCCAAGGGCAAAGCAAAGTGGGAAAAATAATTCAGTACTCCTATCCCTCCAGGATAGCACAGAGCATTGCATCAGCCCTGAGACCCCTGCCACTGCCTCCTCCTGGCTGTTCTCACTCCCATTCTAGCAGCTAGAGCTGCCTCATGGCACCTGGCCATTAATACTTCTCCAGATATCAAAAAATTAACTAATCGCCCAGTATCAGATGTAGCACAAAGATGTCGTTTGTTTTCTAAGAAAGTCTGAAAAAAAATGCACCTTGGAGTAAATGAAATGATGTTAATTTTTTCCTTTGCACATATAGCCTTAAAAGAAAGGAAAACAGGCTGGGTGCAGTGGCTCACGCCTGTAATCTCAGCATTTTGGGAGGCCGAGGCAGGGGGATCACGAGGTCAGGAGATCAAGACCATCCTGGCTAACATGGTGAAACCCCGTCTCTACTAAAAATACAAAAAATTAGCCAGGTGTGGTGCTGGGCGCCTGTAGTCCCAGCTACTCAGGAGGCTGAGCCAAGAGAATGGTGTGAACCCAGGAGGTGGAGGTTGCAGTGATCTGAGATCATGTCACTGCACTCCAGCCTGGGTGACACAGCAAGACTCTGTCTCAAAAAAAAAAAAAAAAAAAAAAAAAAAAAAAACAAGAAAGGAAAGCAGGAATTCTTTCAGAAAAATTCCAGTATAATTTTTATAGTAGACCTGACATTCCAATCACAGCAATTCTCAGTCTCTGTGTAATGGTTCAAAATGCAAACTTTAGAGTCTCTTGCCTTTATGTCATAATAGCTCTACCTCTAGCTCCTTCTTTCAATTTAGTCATTGGATGAAGACCTGCAACTCCTGAGTTTACGATTATATAACTCTCCTCCAAGAATACAAAGAATTCTGTTATGTCTGTGTGGCAAAGTCTTCTCTCTGCATGTATTGGATAGGCAGAAAGAGTTTATAGATGTCTGATGGATTCTAGAAGTAACCTTACTGCAAAAATTCTGCTCAGCAAATTTTTATATATTGCATGTGCCTCTATCTTCAGTGAACAAAATTTTCTGTCTGCCATTGAGTATTCATTTATATAATTCCATACAAAGATGATACATTAACTAAATTAAATGGTCATGGAGGATAACAGATCAAAAGTTCATTTCATAAGACAGTCATGTTAGACCATACCATGTGCAGTAAGCATAGCGCAGATCACAACAAATGATTAAGTTCCACATTTAGAAATAATACATTTCTTACTTCCCTCCCTGTATTAGTCTACTGACATATCAAAATATCATAGGTGGCTTAAATAGAAATGTATTTTCTCACAGTTCTGGAGGCTGGGAAGTGCAAGATCAAAGTGCTAGTCAGTTCAATTCCAGGTAAGGGCTCTCCTCCTAGCTTGCAGATAGCTGCCTTCTTGCTGTGTTCTCATGTGGCAGGGAGAGAGAGTTCTCTGGTGGTCTCTTCTTATAAGTACACTAATCTCACTGGGTCAGGGCCCCATCCTTATGATCTCATTTCAGCTTAATCACCTGCTTGGCCCTATCTCCAAACAGTCACACGGGGGGTTCAGGCTTCTATGTATAGATTTTGGGGGGATGCAATCCAGTCCACAGCACTCCCAAAATAGATAATTATCTCATTGGATCTGATCCCCTTTCCCTCCTGGTAGGTAAGTAAGTAAGCTGAATTATGAGCTGACCCAGATGAAAAGTCAACATACTAAGAGAAAGTTAGAGGGCTCAGAGCCAGGAATCTCTCACGTGAAGGTCAAATGCCAGCCAGTCAATATTAGATGGTGCCCCAAATGGAATTCCTGGCTTAGGGTGTCCATCATACTTGTGGAAATCCATGGACACTCAAAATAAACATTTTAGTCAAGTTACAATGTGAAATGGAAGCCCAAGGCTCCTGAAAGAGACGTGGGAGTGGGGAATGGGGCAACAGTGTAGTCCTAAGAGATAAATTGGTAGTGATCCGAATGGATTCCAAAGACTCTGGGCAATACCCTCAGCAGCTCGAATTGTGCACATTTCTCTATGTGAGGGCAGCTTAAAGGCACTGGATGCAAGTAGGCAATTAGATTGCCATCATTTTCATTGTTAAAGTAAACTCCAGAATCAAACAGCCATTCTATGGAATCATCCTTAAACTGTCTTAGGTAAATAAGGAGATTACATGCATTTAAAACAGAAGAAGTCGCCTGACTTTTCTATTTGAGTGGAGAGTATATTTATATTTATATATATGGGTAAAGTACATTGCCCTTTAAATAGCTGGGGCAAAACAAGTTCTGAGCTGCATTAAATGTGAATAAAGTCTTCAAATAATCAGAGTTGACAGTAATAACAAAGCAAATGTATTTGGACAAAATACAATTTCTACAGCATCAACTACATTTTGATAATGTAACATTTAACTTTCACCCAATCAGAAGAATCGCAAGAAAGGGATTAATTTCTAAGAAAAATAAAAAATTTTTTAAATTACATATTTCCCATCCTTTTAATTCACTCTTTGCTATGTTAGTAGTTCAATAAGTACATATTTATGGAAATAAATCCCTTTCAAAATTTCTGTTTAGTACATTTCTTCCTCATTTGTTTTTTCCCTTCAAGTTTTCTGTATTTATTTTTAATGTTGCTGTCTTCTATACAAATATCGGTGGAGGAGTTTTATACTAAGACCATGCCTAAAATTTGTCAGTGCCATCTATGAAAGTTAAAACTGCCACCTTCGGTGATTAATCAAATTTGCTCTAAATAGGATTAATTCGGGTGTTAAGTATGAAGAAGATTGTCAGGGTGCATGTCCCTTTTCTCATCTGTCCCCGGGTCTTTTTCGCCCCCTTTGCTGAATTGAAAATGAAGCTGAGCTATAATCTTGCTTGGCAGATACTGGATCTTTCCTTTGATAAACATCTAAAATGCTAATGAATGTGGGCTGCAGTTCTGAAAGAGTGAGCATAGGATTTGACAAGAATCTGGAGGGTAAAAAAGAAGAACTTTCTGACTTAAAAGAACTCTTTTTGTTCACACTTGGTATTGTTTCCTGAAGAAAAAATTTTGCTCCACAGAAAAACAGAAAAAATTCTGCTACATCAAAATGCGGAAGCATGAAAAACTGATGAGCTTTCAGATTGTCCTCTTTTGCATGCAAATCATATCAGAAGTTCTCATTAGCATAAATGCATGAGCAACTCTAAATGCTTTTAATTTCCAATCTCAGCCAGCAGAGGAGTAATTTGTCACTGTCAGGGTGGAAATCTAAAAAGAAAAAAAAAAGAGAGAGAGAAGGACTCCATGCTAAATTGGAATCATATAAATTTTTGATTTGCTAATTGACTGATGTTACAGTTCAATCAGCTGCCTTGAAGGTGTAAATAATTCAATGTACAGTCAGAAATGAAATCATAACGTGCCTCTACCAAAGGCGTTTTAGTATTCAGTGCAATGGGACATACCTGACCATGTCTTTTTTATGGATACCCTCTTTAGTCAAATTATAAGTCTTCTGCAAGCAGCTACTCATATAAACCAATAAAAACACCTCTCATATACCCCAAGTTCTGCAAGTAAGAGTCATTAGAACCCAGGAAACAGAACTCTGCAATCTTTAACTGTGAGCCTCCCAGCAGGTTACAACCGAGGCTTCATGAACCACCTTCTGATGGCAGCCCACTAATGCAATCATAAAAAGAAACTACTGAAATAAAAATCTTATTCCTACTCCTGCTAACTTTCAATCTTTCCTTTCCTTTAATCAATTGCTTTAAATGTCATATGCAAAATGTATTTATCACAAAACTATCTCATTAGGGCAAGCATGATATGGATATTTTAAAAGCTACTCCACGTGGTTTCTTTTTATCATGTAGTTCTATCATATTATTGTCTTTACCTTGAAACATTTTAATTTGCATCATCCAAAAGTTAGTTTATAAATAATTTTAAAATATTGCTTAATTCAAAGTCAAGTAGAATAAATATGACTAAAGTCCCAACTTACTGGAACTCTATTTTATCTAGTAATTGGTATTTTCTTTAGTAATAATTTTAAATAGGAAAATTGAAGAGATATGCTAAAACCATGTTCAGGCACTTTCATTATGAAAAGTGAGCCTCATGCTCAAGTGAAAATACCAGTGCCCTGTGAGAGTTGCAAACCAAATAAATTCATTTGAACTGTTTTTCAGTTATATAATACAGACTCTACCTGTAATTAATGTATGCACCTAAAGAGCTATAACCAAAACCACAATCTATTGGAAAACTGACCTGCACATACTGACATTTGTGCCTAGAAGGAAAAGAAATACCAGACTAAATTCTGTAAACTTAATTCAGCAATCAGTGTGTTAAAAGAAAAACTTAGACAAATTAAATTTAGCAAAGTTTATTTAAATAAAGAACAATTCAGGAATCAGGCAGCCCTCTGAACCAGGAGATGTTCAGAGGGCTCCACCCAGCAACATGGGTAGGGAATATTTATAGACAGAAAAAGGAAGGGACATACGGAAACAACTTGATTTGCCTTATTTGAGCATGGCGTGATGAGGCCTGTGCCTTATGTGGACATGGTCCAATCAGTTGGCAGTCTATGATTGGCTTAGGTTGGGCTGCTGTGATTGGCTGAGACTCAGCTATTTGTTACAATAATATACTCTGGTTGCAGTTTACATACTAAGTTAGGTCGCAGCTCACTAGGTACAGAGGCAGATTTAGGCCAAATTTAATTTAACAAATGTAACATATTAAAAAAAGAAAGATGGCTTCCCTCCACCTAACCTGAGTTATCACAAGGCCACATGGTAGGTTCTGCCTTCTGTCCTGGCTCTAAAGCCTTGCCCTCCAATAATTTTTCCGTCATTCTAGGGTTGTTTGGAAGTCTCAGGGAGAGCAACTCCGTATCACATATGGCAAATATAATAAGTCTTATGAAGTATGTGTAATGGGCTGAGTAATTTTTTAAATGTCCTTCCTCATCATTGTCTCTGGGAAAGGTTAGTGCAACAGAACAAAGAGAACAAAAGCATGCCATTCCTAGCTTTTGAATTTTAAGGGTCAAGTCTCAAGAACCTGAACTTCTGAGAAACAAGATCTTCAGCCCCTTACCTCATAAAATGTATGTTAGAAACAATCGCTTTGAATGAATGTATGATCACTGAAAGCCATTTTTTTCCTGCCCCAGACAAGAGAAAATAACCAGAAGTTAGAAAGGAAGAGATAAACAGGAAAGTGAAAGCAAAGCAAGAGGCCAAATCTGAACATACAAACAACAGCTGGACCTATGTAAAGATAGAACTTGGACCCACCCCTGCAGCAACCTGCCCAAGAAGGCAACCCGGTTTCTATTAGACACACAGAGAGCCAGATTGCTATCTTTAAGAACAACCCAGGAAACTAAACAATAACTTCTCTAACAATCGCCCCAAAATGGCCAGGCATTGATTAATATAAATGACAACTTCACTCATTTTTGTCTCTACTTCCAACTCAGGGCCCACCAGAGAAATCCAAACATGCCCCCTAAACCCATCCCACAGGCTGCCAGCTGCTGACACCTGGAGCTGACCTTTTGCCCACTTCCAGACTCCTCTGCCTACCTGGGAGCCTCTGCCAAAACACGAGTGACTGTGGCCAACCCACTTGCTATAGCATGTTCTCAAACAATAGCCTTTGCCTTTCTCATGTGGTTTGTTTTCATCTCCTTCCAGAAAAAGGAACCAAAATGTACAAGGCAGAGCTCATCCCCTCCTTGGCAGGGTGCAGTTGAACTTCTGAGTCAGGCTGTGGGCTCCCAGAGCATGGAGAACCTCTGCCTTGATTTCTGCTTGGCTCCTCCCAGAGGTGAGCAGCCTTACTGGGACCTGGCCCAGAATGGGGGACAACAGAGCAACAGCATCAACATCAACAAGCATTTATTGAGCGCCTTCTATGCACCAGCATAAGAAGCCCTTGAAGGACTAAAAAAATTCCACCACCCATCCAGCACCTCCTCCCCCATTTTAAGGACCCTTTTTGAGCAAATATTTCTCAAACTAGCTGAGATTCAGCTGAACCCTCTTTGCTAAAGCCCTGTAAAAACTCCATCCTCAGCCAGGCGTAGTGGCTCACACCTGTAATCCCAGGACTTTAGGAGGCCAAGGCTGGTGGATCACCTGAGGTTGGGAGTTCAAGACCAGCCTGACCAACATGGAGAAATCCTATCTCTACTAAAAATACAAAATTAGCCAGGTGTGGTGGCACATAACTGTAATTTCAGCTACTTGGGAGGCTGAGGCAGGAGAATCGCTTGAACCTGGGAGGCGGAGGTTGCGGTGAGCCAAAATTGAGCCATTGCACTCCAGCCTGGGCAACAAGAGCGAAACTCTGTTTAAAAACAAAAACAAAACCAAAAACCTCCATCCTCCTTCCCCATGGCAGAATGTCCCTCCAGAGCCTCCTCCGGCTGTGGCATTCTGCATGAAGGTTCACTCTTTCCCGTGCCTCCACCGATTTTCTTACCCACTGGTCTAAATGTTGCGCATGTTTTATTTTATCTAATTGTCATAACAACTCTATGAGGTGGGTCCTGTTATTATCCTTATTTTATAAAGGGGGAAATTCCGGCTTGAAAAATTTTCTTGGAAGTAATTTACAGGACATAAGATAAGCAGAGAGATACACTGACTGTGTCAATATAAAGCCAAGCTTCTTAACCTGGGCACTGTTGACATTTTGGGTGGAGAATTCCTTGCTGGGGGTAAGAGGGGCCAAGAACTAGAAAGGAAAAGAGGTTAGTATTTCCTTTTTACATGCTTTTAAACTTTTGTTTTGGCTTCACGTTTTAAAACCAGCATTTATTATTTTGTAATTTGAAAAAAACATCAGGGAAGGAAAATTTCACGAAAAAAAGAAAGATCACCTTTGTTTTCTCAGCAGCCACATCAAATTACTGGTTTATACTGAGCTCATGATTAATTAAACTTTACAAGCCTTCTTTTACATAAATCATTTTGTCTCCTCCAACCCGTACTCATAAAATTGATTTTTCCAACCAAATCCAGAGTCTTATATTTAATCTGTGATAAATTTCACTTTCTTTGTTTTGGCCTTTCATTGTAAACTAGCAATGGCTTTCTTTAATTTTGACTTTTTCATCCAATTTACAGGCTATCTCTTCCAGTTATTTATCATCTGAAATTTAGGTCACCGCATTTCAATGCCAAAGTAGTGCTGCCGGGGAGGACAGAACTATGGAGCCCTGAGTTGCCTCACTAGAGACCTCCTGCCAGGAAGTGGTAACACATTGATAAACATTATTTTAAGTTGTTCCTCCAGCCAACTGTCACTGCACCTAATTATGTCATGTGTGGAGCCCCAGCACCACTGTGACTGGTACCCTCTGGGGCTGTGCACACTTTACATGGCCGTAGGTGGTAGCGCTGATCACCCAGCTCACAATCCTCCAAGTATGTCTCACTGGAATGAGTAAGAGTCAAAAGGCCATTCCACCTTCAGAATCTAGGACCAAATGTGGGAGAATGAGGGGCTGTATAATTGGGACCTCTTTCTTCTTCATCAACAACACTCATGCATGAAGTATAGGCCTCTCTTTCACTGTTAGGTGCCTGGTAAAAAGAGCATTAAATTGGATCTGTACATGCGAGTAAAACAGTTAAAATTTGGAGAAACAGGAGCTGTTCTATATGACCCCGTTTTTGAAAATCAAGTTGTTATCATCCCCAGTCTTCTGGAACCTCTTCCGTCTACCATGGTGTCTCAAAAACTGCCAACAGTGGATGTGTGATCACAAAGGCAGATGCCCTCAATAGCACACGGTGTGATTTTGGGCCCTTGAACAAGCATTTTCTTCTACCAGAAGTGTCCTTCTGCAACTCTGCTCTTCAATTCCTAGCTTGTAGAACCCTACCATTCTTCAGGACTCTGAGAAGTCTGTGAGCTCAAATATTCCCTTCTCCACACTAGGCTAGGCCTCCGTTGAATCCTACACATGGCCCTAACATGGAATACTAGGCATACGAAGTATCCCAGAGAACTTCATATGCTTATTTCCTTTCCTGACTCCTCCACTAGAGGATGAAATCCTTGAATGTGGGAGCTGAGAATGACCGTTTCTCCCTTGTTCAGTGCAGTATATGGCCCATGGTAAACACTCAGGTAATGTTTGATGGATGAATGCATGAACAAACAGATGACACTGACTTTTGAATTCATTTAAAACAGGGGCTTTATGACTCCTTCACTTCCTCAGGCTTCCATGTCTTTAAACATATTTGTTCTAAAATATCTTTCCCATTGGAACACAATTTTCCCTGAGGAGTAGGCTTAGCAGAATTGAAGCTAAAGAGCTGTGCTCTTTCTGTCATCTGCTAGCGTGACATCATCTGCTCCCAGCAGAGGGCCTCTCTTCTTTGTTTCTTTCTTGCTCCAAATACAACTTCAAAGAATCTTTTTGTTGCCATTGCCATTTTTTGCAAGCCTCAGCTCACTCTCGGTGTCACCCTCCAGAAATCAGTTTTTATAAATTTGAACATTTATCTTTATATTCAACTACTCTCATGTCTTGCACATGCCATTTTCCAACAAGAGCTCAATAGTACAATGAGAGAATATGATTTTATCTTATTTTATTTTATTTTTGAAAATGTAGGGGAGATATGGAGTTTCTTATTTGATTTATAATTCAGATAGATACTTCCTTACTCTCTATATACACATTAACCTAATCAAATAAAACCTTGATTATCTAACACCATGAGAAATTGGCTTAATTTTTTGTTATAATAAAGGTTAATTCAGAGGGCTGTTTTACTTTAGTATCTCTAAACTTTTAAAAATTTTTAAATATTGAAGCTAAAATAACACTTAGAACTATTAAAGTTCACTCATCACCTTGATTTCACAAATGTCTACATACATTTTACGTGTCATTCCCTATAAATAGAATTTAACAAACGTAATGTGGATGTGGTGGCTTTGTGCCATGTAAACTTAGTGCAATGCCCTGAATTCTCTTCTCTTTATGTTTGTGGGTAAAGAATGATTATAAAAGAAACGCCTGTGAGATTTGGAAGGCAGAGGCAAGCAGTAGCCATTATGTTCTGAACGTTGATGAAGGCCACCGGCACTGTTGCATTTCATGCACATTGCTGGAGACCTCTAGCCACTTCATTGGCAGGAGTCAGCAGTGGAGCAGTTCAGCTCCTTGAGCACCTGCTGCATCTCTAGTCTGGGGCAAGGTACTCTGTTCCACCTTCTCACAAAGACCACCCATTTCTTCTGCAGATCACCTTCGTTGTAGAGATTGGAAGCAGTGAGAAACAAGAACAGGTTCCAGTTTGTCCTCAGGGATTCCAGAGTGTTTCTGAAGGTTCTGACTTCCTCTCACTCACTCCCACTTCACGTGCAGCTTTCCTTCCTGACTACCATACCTGCTAAGCTATAGCAAGCTCGGGCCCTCCACCAGACACAGAAGCAACTGTCTTCCATAGACTTCTCCAACAGATCCCTATTCCCTATCATTCATAGTGGTTCTTCTTTCCTGTTGAACTCTCATAAAATGTATTTACAAGGTTACTTTTTCATAGATGTTATTGCCCTCTGAAATATAGCAATATAAACCTGTGAGGACCCTGCCCATATCCCTTCATCCCATCTCAGAGCTAACCTGCATTTGGTTCTTGTATATGCCATGGCTCCATGCATCGCCTTTTCAGAATGATTTCTTTGGTTATAGGGTAATGCTCAGCTCCTATCTGGGGGAAGGTAGAAGTGTTAGGAACTTAGGACTACAAGAATGATCCTCAGACAATTAGAGATAGGAATCAGTGGATAAACACTCAAACTTCCTCACCCCACTTGAGGAATATTCTGAATGGGGTTTCACACAGTCTTTATGAGAATCCTTATGTGGCTTGAGCCCCTGTTGCCCACTGCAATGATCTCCTTAAAACACATTTTACTGTCTGTCTTCCTATCCCTACCTCCCTTCCCCACTATCACGGGGCATTTTTTGAGAACACTTCCCAAACTACTTTCACCCAAATCCTTCAAGGATCTGCTTTTGGTAAAACTCAAACTAATAGAAACTCTTTATATCTTCTTTTAAAAAGATCATTCCCTTGTAAAATGCAGAAAGGTAATAGTCATCTTACCATGTTTTGAGGTCATTATAGCTCTTTGTAGAAAATTTAAGACAAGATTCGAACATTTTCCAAAGACCTAATTTTTATTTCTTCAAAGGCTCATAGTCTACTTATTGCTCTCTTGTGCTGACTCTAGAGTTTCAGGGAGTAAAGATATAGGCACCACATCTTCTTCCAGGTGTGGAATGGTCAAGCCAAAACTACCAGCTGAAAACCAGTACTTGATAAGGTGGTAAAAGGCATATGAAAAATGAAGCATTTGGCTGTGTCCAGATCTCCTGCTGCATCATAACCAAATGTGAGGAAGAGCTGAGTAGATAAAATCAGCCTGAATTTTTATTTCCCCATGATACACCTTATACAATGCTTTATAAATACATTTGCTTGCCTTTCTTACAGTTTTTCTAAAAAAGAGTTTCTGTGTATCACAGACATTTATATAGTTTCCACAGAGCTAAGTTCGTGCTGTTCCAAATATATAATAAAAGAATTATTTCAACTAGTTCTTTCAAATATAAAATATTACCAGGAAAACTATCACCATGCAGAAGTCCAAGGCAAAGATTGGGTTTGAGAGGAATACTTAAGACGAACAAAGATACAAGCTTAAATGATCATAAGAAATAAATACCTTATTTTCTTCCTTGTTTCTCTTTTTAAATGAGTGGTAATCCTACCAATTGTATTAAGGCAATAGAGGGTGACAGAGAAGGAAGCAGCTACAACAGTGGCTGATGGTTCAGAAAATATAGATGGGACAGATCAGTGAGGCCAGTACTAAAGGCTCTTCTGCCTGGGAGTTCACATGACATTATGGCCCCAATGAGATAAGGACTTTATAGGAGTCAATGCCCCAAATACCCAAAGATTGACATCATCATTCAATAACCCAGCATATTCCAAATATTTTCCATGTAAGTAGAAGGAAGGTATTTTTTGTCTTTCTATTCCAGCAGAGTCAATTAGGAAACTTGGATTTGAAAACAGAACTTGACAATCAAACAATGTAAGTATGCTTATTTACTTTGATTTTAAAAAAAAAAAAAGTGATTGTAAAAGTTTGGTCCTGTTTCCCAAGACAGAAATTCCCCTGTGGGTGAATAATTCAACAGGAAATCTCAGAATAGATACACTTTAATCATTGGAGGGATATGTGCCACATTAGTTGCCCATGAAAATTAGAGGAAGCAAACATAAGTTAAAATTGATGGCAAATAGTCATCCAAATGTAAGTAGATTAAAGCAACAAAATGTTTTTTTCCCTTTGGCTAACTAAAACAGCTGTTTCAAATGCTTCTGGCTTCTTTTCATCAAAGGCTATTACCTCTTTCTCCTCCATGAAATACAGTAATACTTACTAACCACAATAATAGGAATAATATAAATGTTGTAATGAGTATGATTTTGAGTGCATCACTGGGAATCATTTGAATGTAGAAAAAGAGTTTTGATAATAACAGAATTTCAACTTTATTATATTATATTGTCCAGTATTAGAAATAATAAGATTCTCTATTTTCCAAAGGGCTTGGAGTCTTAACTCAACAGCCTGTTATAATCATGTACATCAAAAATATTTTCCTTAATTTGGAGAGTGAAATTTGTTTTGCAAATCAAAAAAAGAGCTTCCAATACAACTAGAACATGGTGAATGGAGAAAAATTATTTGGGGGATGCACCTTGTAGTTGCTCCAGTTTTAATTTGTAATATCCATTTATTATTTTCACAGTTTTGTTTCTAATGAAAGTTTTATGCTCTGTAGAAATTCAGTGCAATGAGGCAAGACTAGTATTGTTTTTTGTTGTGCAGTTACAATCCAATCTTTTTTTTAAAATTTATGCCAAGGTATTGTTTTAGATGATTCTTAGTTTTTGTACAATACTATGGCTCGCTCCTGAAAAAATGTATGCAAAATGTTTTTATTTTGTGAAAAATGGAAGGTAAAATCATGCATTATACTGCTTTTGAAAAATAAAAAAAAATTATTAGCTCTTGCCGAAAGCAAAATAGCTGATCTTTTGCCATGCTATTTTATATGGTTACTAATTTCCTATTAAACATTGTCCTATGATAAACAGACTGGTCCTTCACAAACACCAAAAGGCAGATGATTCTTTGATAACTCAGCAAGGCTTCTTCTAACTATTTCCCAAAAGGGTCTTTTCAAGGAAATCATATCTATGCTTTTTCAGAAATGCCAGGGATATAACCATACCTCAGGCAGATTTAACTGTAACATTAATTAAAAGATTCTCTCATTCACTAATTAATAATAGACTCATACAAGGATAGGGTTGAAAGAGTCCTTGAGAGGTCAACAGAGTCAGTGCCTACATCCTCTGTGGGGACCACAGATAAACTATTCTAGATCCACAAAAAATGATCTTATATTCAAATCTTAGCATGGAGATTGCATCTACATCCACCTTTGATGATGTAATTCATGACTTGTCATGCTGCTAATAAAAACATACCTGAGACTGGGTAATTTATAAAGAAAAGAAGTTTAATTGACTCAGAGTTCAGCATAGCTGGAGAGGCCTCAGGAAACTTACAATCATGGCAGAAGGGGAAGCAAACACATCCTTCTTCACATGGTGGCAGGAAGGAGAAGTGCTGCGCAAAAGGAGGAAAAGCCCCTTATAAAACCATCAGATCTCATGAAAACTCACTCACTATCATAAGAACAGCAGCATGGGGGTAATGCCCCCACGAGTCAATTACCTCCCACTGGGTCCTTCCCAAAACACATAGGGATTATGGCAACTACGATTCAGGATAAGATTTGGGTGGGGACACAGCCAAACCATGTGAGGAATGAGAACACAGAACATGAGAAAATTCTTCCAGTAAACTCTTCAGTGGCCATTTTCAGAGTAGCTTGACAGCATCTGTTGTCCAAACTCTAGGTCAGCCCCTATTGTTTAGTTTCTTTCATACACTGTTCTCTATCCAGGTTAAATATGCCCACTGCTTTCAACTTATAAGCAATAGCTTTAGTTTTCTTCTTAGTTGTCATTGGTTACTCTAAATGTTCTTAAAATTGTCCATATTTTGCTTTATTTCTGAAATTTATATATGGAAAATATAAAGATATGACCAATGTAGAGTGAAAAAAATCACCCCTGACAAAACTCACCAAATTATGCAGCAGAAGAGGTTTGCTTTAATGGTCCATCCTGCCAACCACCACCAGCCCGGAAGTTAGCTCTACTTACCAATTCCTTTCCTAATTTGTTTTAATTGCATACATTATCAGTATACATGCTTTATAATTTCACTCTGAGTTATGTATTAGAATCTGATGAATTTATCCATGCACAAACAAGTAAACGTACCTAATTTTAAGTAGAACTTTAAGAACTTGGCTCAAATTCTGTTGTTTCCATTGATGGTGATCATGATAATAGTAATAAATAAAGTGAATGTATTTATACCGATTTTATTTGCATCAGTAATTATATTATTCCCATAAAAATCAAAGCATTACATTACATCACAGCTATCCCCCTGAATCCCTGTATTATGCTTGGAAAATGTCAAACTGGAGGTAACCTGGCACATTCAAGGAAGAGTAAAAATGGTATGGCTGAAGGGTAAGGAGAAACAAGAGAGATTATAGGAGAATATGAGAGAAGAAAGGCAGCCAAACAGTGTAAGTCCCTATAGGACAATGCAAGGACTTCGGCTTTTACTTCAAGTAAGATAGGAAGGCATTGGAGGTATTTGAGCAAAGAATGACATGATTAAAAAAAGGAACATTCTTGCTGCTATTTTTAGAATATAACACGAACAAAAATGGAAGCAAGATCAATTAGGAAGTTATTGCAAATAAACAGGTAAGAGATAATGATGGAATGGACCAGAGTATCAACATTGGGGGTGTTCAGAAAGTCATATTTCTTTTTATATAGTATGAAAATAAAGCAAACAGGATTTCCTGATGGGCTATATATGAGACGTGAGAGAATAAAAGTAAGTCAAAAGAGGACACTGAGTTTGGGGCTAATGGAATTGGAAGCATTAAATTATGATCATTAAAGTGAGTAAGACTGTGAAGGAGCACATCTGGCAGAAAGATGAGGGTTTTTTTTCTTGTGTGTTATGTTTAAGATACCTTCTAAAATTCAAGTTTAGTAGTTGACTGGATATATGAGTCCAGAATTCAGAGGACAGGACAGGCCAGGATTTGGTACTTAATGCCACAAGATTGGATGAGATAGTTAATAGAATCAGTATAATTACAGAATAGGCACAAAAAGTGGGCACAACATTCCAAGGACAGGGAGATCAAAATGAGAGAAAATTAAGGAGAAATTACTGGGGAGATAGGGAGATAAACCAAGGAAGTTAACTCTCCTGGAGACAAATTAAAAATTTTTTCAAGGAGAAGGAATTGATTGCCTCTGTCAAATGCTGCTAAGAGGTTGAGTAATTTGATACTGAAAATTAACCATTAGACTTAATAACATGGAAGTCATTGGTGACCTTGACAAGAACAAGTTCCGTGATTTGGTGGAAGTGAAGACCTGATTAGAGAGAGTTCTAGAAAGAATAAAAGGAGAGGAATTGAAAATACTACATAGGCTGTTTTAAGTTTCTAATAATGGAGAGAAGAGATATGGGACGGCAACTAGAAAAAAATATGGAATCAACAAGTTTTTTTATTTTTTAATGAGTGATATTATAACACATAAGTGAGATTAATCTAGAAGAAAGAGGGGAAAATACAATTATCCAGGAGAGAGAGATAGAGAGATAATGAATTGCTGGAGCTATTAATGAACTAATATAGTATTTGAGCTAGATCTCAAGAAAAAGACAACATCTACATAGCCAAAGATATAGTGAGGGAATTCTATTTAAAATCAACAAACCATGGACAGATGCATACAAAAGACATATACAAGGCATATGTGGTTCAACTAAGATGAGGTTGTAGGAACGGAAGTTCAGAAAGTAAATAACAGATGTGGATGGCTGCAAATTTAAGATTTTCTTTTCAGAAATAGGGAAAACACTAATGGTGGAGTGAGTTAAGTAGGTACTTATTAAAACTTCATAGGTTGTATTTAAAATATATAATGAGAGTTTGAACAAATGAACAAAAATTGATAATTTGAACAGTATTTTATGCTATCCTCACACCTTGTGAACTTGGCAGAGATGTGATCACTATTCCTATTTTAAGGATAAAACATTTGCAGCTTATAAATATTTACTGACTTACCCAAGGCCACAAAACAAGATAAACAGTAAAATCTTATCTAGAAGACTATAATCCATATTTAAATTCAGAATTCTGATTCATGCCCCAATTTTCAAATTTTTTATTATCACTAGCTAAAGTGTTCTTTTGAAAAGCACCTTAATTTGGAAATTCAACTTCTAATATGGTAGAATATTCTCCCTACAAAACAATCTTTCTGCTGAAAACAACTGTAAATGCTGTACAAAATAGAGTAGACAATTGTCTGAGGATTCTGAAATGTAAAGAAAAGCAGGTAACCAGCATGAGAGTGGGCCTCCCATTTTTTCTTTTCTTTTGTGAAATAAAGCAGTGCCATAAAGCAATATGATACAAGTAGTTAAAATTCCAATAGAAACCCAATGTCTTTTTGGGCTAGAGCAATCAGGAAAAGGATGTTAAGCAACTCCTGGAGAGTGAGTGGGATTATACTAGAAAGAATACAGCCAAGGATGTAGACCCCTCATTCTGTGTATTACCCCCACCCCCAACAAGACTCTGGCTGGCCTCTCAACACATACATGAAACCAGCTCAAGACTACGCATTAAAGAATAAGAGAACTGAGATGAAAATTAAACAATCATCCAAAGAAAGCAAGACACTCCTTAAGTTTGAGTCTAACTACATTGATAGCCCAATAAAACAAAAGCATCAACATTTTCCATAACAATCTCAGAGTCCACAGAACATAACATTCACCATGTGCAGTAAACAATGCAAAATTACTCAATATATTGGAAAAATATGACCTATTCTCAAGAGAAAGACAATGAACAGATGACAAGCAAATATGGGTCAATAAAGAGTTAAACCACATATTAGAATATTATTAAATGAGTATTTTATAGCAGCTATTATAACTATGCTCCATGAGGTTAAAAAAAGTACTCAAGTGAAAAGATAAGGAATATCAACAAACAGAAAAATTTTATAGGATGAACTTAATAGCAGAGGAAAGATGAACAATGCAAAATTCTATGTATTTGAAGACAGATGAAAAGAAATTATCCTATATGAAAAACAAATAGAAAACAATTGATCCTCAGAGAGCTTTGTGAAATATCAAAGGGTCTAATAAGTGTGTAATTAGAATCCCAGAAGGAGAAAGGGAGAAACAGAGAAAAAAGTTTAAAATTGCCAAAAAGTTTTCCAAGTTATGTGAAAGTCATAAATTTGTTTATTTTAAAAGTTCAGAAAACCCCAAAAGGAATACCTTCAGAGATAATCATTCCTAAATACATCACAGTTCAAACTGTAAAACACTAAAGATATGGAGAAAAACTTGAAAGTAGTCAGAATAAAAAGAAAAAAAGTGCAATACATACAGTGAAATCACAATGCATATAATCACAGATTTCTCATTAGAAACCATGGAGGCTAGAGACAGTGGAACAATATTTTTAAAATATTGAAATTAAAATTTTGTCAATGCAGAATTCTATACCAACTGAAAAATAGTCTTAGAATGAAGGTGAAATGAAGGCATTTTAAAACGAACAAAAAAAAAGTCACCAGCAGACCATTACTGTAAGAAATGGTTAATAAATTTCTTCTGGTTGAAGAGAAATGTTTTCAGAGAAAAATTTAAATCCTCAGGAAGGAATGAAAAGTATTAAAAATGATAAATATACTGCTAAATATATTTTCTCTAGCTCTGTAGAATACCTATGACTGACTAAAATAAAAATTACAACATTGTCTTGTGAGGTTTTTAAATGTATATAATTGTAATACATATGACAGTGTATATATGGTAAAATAAGTATTATGGAGACCTATATGATCACAAGTTTTTTAATTTTACATACAATATTATAAGCAGTTTAAGGAAGATATTGTTGTTCCTACAGCAACCATTTAAAATGCAAATATGCATAACTAAAATAACAATAAGTATAGCAACATAAAAATTAAAATATAATGGTAAAATATATTCTAATAACATAGTAAGGGAGAACATTAAAAAAAGAAGAGGTAATAAGCAGAAAGCAAATAATGAAAAGGATCACATAATGCTAAGTTACTTATATATTTAGCATTTAAGTAATTATACTAAATGTTAATGATATAAACAGCATAAATAAAAATGAAATTGTGAAAGAAAAAGGAATTTTAAAAAAATGCACAAAGCGTCCAAGAAGTTTTGAATTATGTTAAACAACCAAACCTAAGAATAATTGGTGTTCCAAGGAAAAAGAGAAATCCAAATGTTTGGAAAGCATGTTTGATGGAATAATCAAGGAAAATTTCCCCAGCCTTGCTAGAGATCTAGACATCCAAATGCAAGAAACTCAAAGAACATCTGGGAAATTCATCACAAAAAATCGTCACCTCAGTACATAGCCATCAGATTATCTAAAGTCAAGAAAAAAGAATGAATCTTAATAGCTGTGAGACAAAAGCATCAGATAAACCATAGAGGAAAACCTATCAGATTTCTCAGCAGAAACCCTACAAGCTAGAAGGGATTCGGGTCCTATCTTTAACTTTCTTAAACAAAACAATTATCAGCCAAGAGTTTTGTATCCAGTGAAGCTAAGCCTCATAAATGAAGGAAAGTTACAGTCTTTTTCAGACAAACAAATGCTGAGAAAATTCACCACTACCAAGCCAGCACTGTAAGAACTGCTAAGAGGAGCTCTGAATCTTGAAACATATCCTCAAAATACACCAAAATAGAATCACTTTAAAGCATAAATCTCACAGGACCTATAAAACAATAACACAAGGAAAAACAACAACCACAAGGTATTCAGGCAGCAAATAGCACAAGGAATAGAATAGTGCCTCATATCTCAATACTAATACTGAATGTAAATGGTCTAAATGCTCCACTTAAAAGATACAGCATGGCAGAATGGATAAGAATTCATCAACCAAGTATCTGCAGTCTTCAAGAGACTCACCTGACACACAAGGACTCACATAAACTTAAGGTAAAGGGGTTGAAAAAGATATTCTAAGCAAATGGACATCAAAAGTGATCATAAGTAGCTATTCTTATATCAGACAAAACAAACCTTAAAGCAATAGTTTTAAAAGTCATAGAGGGACATGACATTATATAATGATAAAAGGACTAGCCCAACAGGAACACATCACAGTCTTAAATATATATACGCACCTAACACTGGAGCTCCCAAATTTATAAAGCAATTACTACTAGACCTAAGAAAGGAGATAGACAGCAACATATTAATAGCCAGAGACTTCAATACTCCACTGACAGCACTAAACAGGACATGAAGACAGAAAGTCAACAAAGAAACAATGGACATAAACTATACCCTACAACAAATGGACTTAGCAGATGTTTACAGAACATTCTACCCAACAACTGCAGAATGTACATTCTATTCACCAGCACATGATGAATAGATAGACCATATGATAGGCTATATGGTAGACTACAAAACATATGATAGGCTACAAAACAAGTCTCAACAAATTTAAGAAAATTGAAATTATATCAAGTAATCTTCTCAAACCAAAGCAGAATAAAATTGGAAATTATCTCCAAAACAAACCCTCAAAACCATGCAAATACATGAAAATTAAATAACTTTCTTTTGAATGATCATTGGGTCAACAATGGAATCAAGATGAAAATTTAAAAATTCTTTGAACTGAATGAAATAGTGACACAACCTATCAAGCCTCTGAGATACAGCAAAAGCTGTGTTAAGAAGAAAGCTCATACTCTTAAATATATCAATCTAAGATCACACCTCAAGGAACTAGAGAAACAAGAACAAAACAAACACAAACCCAGCAGAAGAAAAGAAATAACCAAGATCAGAGCAGAACTAAATGAAATTGAAACAAAAAAATACAAAATACCAATGAAATAAAACCTGGGTTTTTTAAAAGATAAATAAAATTAATAGACCATTAGCAAGAATAACCAAGAAAAGAAGAGAGAAGATCCAAATAAGCTCAATTAGAAATGAAATGACAGAGATTACAACCAATACTACAGAAATACAAAAGATCATTCAAGGCTAAAATGATCACCTTTGTGCACATAAACTAGAAAAACTAAAGGAGACAGATAAATTCCTGGAAATATACAACCTTCCTAGATTAAAACAGGAAGAAATAGAAACTCTGAACAGACCAATAACAAGCAGTGAGATCGAAATGGTCATTAAAAGGTTACCAACAAAAAAAAGTCCAGGACCCGACAGATTCACAGCTGAATTCTATCAGACATTCAAATAAGAATTGGTACCAATCCTATTCCAAAAGATAGAGAAAGAGGGAGTCCTCCCTAAATCATTATATGAAGCCAGTATTACCCTAATACCAACTCTAGAAAAGGACATAACAAAAAAAAATGAAACTACAGACCAATATCCCTGATGAAAACGTCCTCAACAAAATACTAGCTCACTGAACCCAACAGCATATGGATAAGATAATCCACCATGATCAAGTGGGTTTTATACCAAGGATGCAGGGATGGTTTAACATATCCAAGTCAATAAATGTGTTACACCACATAAACAGAATTAAAAACAAAAATTACATGATCATCTCAATAGAGGCAGAAAAAGCATTTGACAAAATCCAGCAAGACTTTATGATTAAAACCTTCAGCAAAATAGGCATAGAAGGCACTTACCTTAAGGTAATACAAGCCATCTATGGTAAACCCACAGCCAACATCATACTGAACAGGAAAAAATTAAAAGCATTTCCCCTGAGAACTGGAACAAGACAAGGATGACCACTCTCACCACTTCTGTTCAACATAATACTGGAAGTCCTAGCCAGAACAATCAGACAAGAGAAAGAAATAAAGGGCATACAAATTGGTAAAGAGGAAGTCAAACTGTCACTGTTTGTTGATGACATGATTGTATACCTAGAAAACCCTAAAGATTCATCCAAAAAGCACCTAGAACTGGTAAATGAGTTCAGCAAAGTTTCAGGATACAAAATTAATGTACAAAAATCAGTAGCTCTGCTATACACCAACAGCAACAAAGCTGAGAATCAAATCAAGAACTCAACACCTTATACAGTATCTGCAAAAAACTAAAATACTTAGGAATATACCTAACCAAGAAAGTAAAAGACTTCTACAAAGAAAACTACAAAGCACTGCAGAAATAAATCATAGATGACACAAACAAATGGAAACACATTCCTTGCTCGTGGATGGCTAGAAGCAATATTGTAAAAATGACCATACTCCCAAAAGCAATCTACAAAATCAATGCAATTTCCATCAAAATACTAACATCATTCTTCACAGAACTAGAAAAAACAATTCTAAAATTCATATGGAACCAAAAAAGAGCCTGCATAGTCAAAGTAAGACTAAGCAAAAAGAACAAATCTGGAAGTATCACATTACCAGACCTCAAACTATACTACAAGGCCAAAGTCACCAAAACAGCATGGTATTGGTATAAATATAGGCATGTAAACCAATGGAACAGAATCAAGAACTCAGAAATAAGGCCAAGTACTTACAGCCAACTGATCTTTGACAAAGTAAACAAAAACATAAAGTGGGGAAAGGACACCCTATTCAACAAATGATGCTGAGATAATTGGGAAGCCACATGTAGAAGAATGAAACTGGATCCTCATCTCTTACCTTATACAAAAATTAATTCACAATGGATCAAAGACTTAAATCTAAGACCTAAAACCATAAAAACTCTAGAAGATAACATTGGAAAAACACGTCTAGATACTGGCTTAGGCAAAGACTTCATGACGAAGAAACCAAAAGTAAATGCAATAAAAACAAAGATGAATAGATGGGACTCAAACTAAAACGTTTCTGCACACCAAAAGAAATAATCAGCAGAGGAAACAGAAAACCCACAGAGTGGGAGAAAATCTTTGTAGTCTATACTTCCAACAAGGAACTAATATCCAGAATGTACAAGGAAGTCAAACAAATCACCAAGAAAAAAAAATTCCATCAAAAAATTGGACTAAGGACATGAATAGACAATTCCAAAAAGAAGATATACAAATGGCCAACAAACATATGAAAAAATGCTCAACATCACTAATTATCAGGGAAATGCAAATCAAAACCACAATATGATACCACCTTACTCCTACAAGAATGTCGATAATCAAAAATTTTAAAAAAAGATGTTGGTGTGGATGTGGTGAAAAAGCAATACTTTTACACTGTTGGTGGGAATGTAAACTAGTACAACCAATATGGAAAATGGTGTGGAGATTCCTTAAAGAACTAAAAGTAGATCTACCATTTTGTCCAGCAATGCCACTCCTGGGTATCTACCCAGAGGAAAATAAGTCATTGTATGAAAAAGATAATTTCACACACATGTTTATAGCAGCAAAATCGCAATTGCAAAAATATGGAACCAGCCCAGATGCCCATCAATCAATGAGTGGATAAAGAAAATGTGGCTTTATATATATACATACACACCATGGAATACTACTCTGCCATAAAAAGGAATGAAATAATGGCATTTGCAGCAACCTAGATGGAATTGGAGACCATTATTCTAAGTGAAGCAACTCAGGATTGGAAAAACAAACATCATGTGTTCTCACTCATAAGTGGAAGCTAAGCTATGAAGATGCAAAGGCATAAGAACAATACAATGGACTTTGAGAACTCAGGGAAAAGGGTGGCAGGGGGGTAAGGGATAAAAGACTATATACTGGGTACAGTGTACACTGCTTGGGTGATGGGTGCACCAAAAACTCAGAAATCACCACTAAAGAGCTTAATCATTTACAAACATAAATAAATAAGAAAAGAAAAAAATTGAAAAAAATTAAAGAATGTCAGAACGGATAAAAAAGCAAAACAATCATAAAATGCTGCCTAGGACAGAGGCGTTTTAAATATATAAACAGATTTTGGGAAAGAAAATGGATGGAACAATGAAAATTTTAAGCAAATGAAGATTGGAGGAGCAGTGTTTATAGTAGATAAAGTAGACTTTAAGACAGAGTATTTCCTGTTATAAAGATAGACATTTTATAATGATAAATGAAGAGAATCCATCAGGATGACACAATAACCATGAATATGTATGTATCTAACAACGAATAATCAATATGAAGGCAGGATAAATTGGAAAAATAAAAGAAACAAAAATGAGACAATTCCACAATCACAGTAGGAGATTTTAGCATCCCTCTTTCAGCAATAGATGAAATATTTACAGAGGAAAAATCAGGAAATACATAGAAGATTTAAATAATCATATCAATCACCTTGATCTAATTGACATTTATAGAACAATTTATCCAAAAATCTATAGAAAATACAACCTTTTCAAGTGCACATGACACATTTACCAAGAATGACTATAAAAAAATTCTGAAAACTTTTTAAAAATTGACATAATATACTGGATATCCCCTGGACACATGGAATTAAATTAGAAATTAATAACAGAAAGATACCTTGGAAAACCCCAAATATTTAGTAGGCTAAAATGCTTCTAAATAACTCATGTTTGAAGAAACAAATCACAAATGAAATTTTAATGTATGTTGAACTAAATAACAAAAATATAGTATATCAAAATATGTGGGATGCAACAAAATAATATTTAGAGAGAAACTTACTGTTTTAAATGTTTTCATTAGAATAAAAAAAGATCTAAACTCAAAGACTTAAAGTTCTAACAAAAAGTTTAGAAAAATAAGAACAAGTCAAAAGAAGTAGAAAGAATAAAATAATAAATGTAAGACTAGACATCAACACAATAAAAAAGGCAACAGAGGAAATGAACCAAGAAAAAAGTAGTTTATCAACAGATCCACAAAACTGACAACCCCTAGACTGATCAATAAAAGAAGAAAAAAAAACACAAATCACTAATATCAGAAATGAAAATGGGATAATCAACACAAATCTTACAGATATTAAAAGGAAAATAAGAATATTTTGGGAAAAGGTCAATAAATTTAGCAAACTTACATGAAATGAAAAATGCCTTTAAAAATACCATTTTAAAATAATAAAAAATAGAGCAGAAATTTTGGATATTCCTATATAAATTAAAGAAATTGAATTTGTTATTGTATATTTGAAATTTTAACAACAGCAAAAGAAAATCAAGCATGAATCATTTTACAGATGAATCCTATTAGATATTCAGGAAAAAAATAAAATCAATCCTACAGAAATGTCTTCGGAAAAATGAAAAGGTAGAAGGACTTACAACTCATTTTCTGAGTATAAACCAAATCAAATATCCTTCATGAACATACATATAAAAACTTCTTGAGAAATACTAGCAAATGGAATCCAACAATGTATATAAATAAACATTATTGCCAAGTAAGTTTTATCCCAGAAAAGCAGATTGGTTGAACATTTTTTAAAACTCAAACAATGTAATTTAACATATTAAAATAATGAAGAAGAAAATTTGTAACATCACTCCAGTAGATGCAGAAAAAGCAGTTGGCAGAATCCAGCACATATTCACATTTACATTTTTAGCAAACTAAGAATAGGAAGGTACTTCCTCAATCCAATTAAAAAAACAGCTAACATCAAATGGCAAAAGTATTGAACTCTTTTTTCGAAAATCATTAACAAAGCAAGAATGCTCCCTTTCACCACTTCTACTTAACATTATAATTGAAGTATCAGCCATTGCAGTAAGGCAAAAAAAGAAAAAAAACCAGATGTGTAAGTCATAAAGATCATAGAAAAAGAAATAAAACTGTTTCTATTTTTCAAAATCTCAATTAATCTATAAAGCACTTAAAGACCTAAGTAAGTAGAAAGTTATAACATATTCATGGATTAGAAAAGCCAATATCATTAAGATACTGGTTATAACTAAATTGATATATGAATTTAACACAATTTCAATCAAAGCTTTTTTGGTAGAAATTATCTAGCTATTTAAAAATATATATAAAAGTAAAAGAATATAGAATAGCCTAAGAAATTATTTAAAAGAACAAATTTGCAAGACTTACCTGATGAAAAAGTGTTTAAATTCAAAATACACAAAGAATGCTTAAAACTTAACAATAAGAACACAAAGAACCCAATTGAAAAATGGGCCAAAGATCTGAACAGACACCTCACCAAAGAAGATATGCAGTTAGCAAATAAGCATATGAAAAGATGGTTCACAACAGATGTCATCAGGAAAATGCAAAGTAAACAATGAGATACCACTACACATCTATTATAATAGCCAAAATTAAGAACTCTGACATCACCAAATGCTGGTGAGGATGTAAAGCAACAGGAACTCTCATTCATTGCTTGTGGGAATGCAAAATGATATAGTCACTTTGGAAGTCAGTTTGGCAATTTCATATAAAACTAAACATACTCCTACTATATGATCCAGCAATCACACTTCTTGATATTTACATAAAGGGGTTGATATTTTGTGTCCACATAAAAACCTGCACACAAGATGTTTATAGCCACTTTGTTCATAATTGCCAAAACTTGGAAGCAATCAAGATGTCCTTCAATAGGTGAATGGATAAATAAACTGTGGAAGATCCAGACAATGGAATATTGCTCTGCACTAACAAGAAATGAGCTATTAAGCTATGAAAACACATGAAGGAAATTAAGTGCATATTAATAAATGAAAGACACTATATTAGCCCATTTTGTGCTGTTATAACTGAATACCTGTGACTGGGTAATTTACAATGAACAGAAATTTGTTGACTCACAGTTCTAGAGGCTGGAAAGTCCATTAGCAAGGTGCCAGTGTCTTATAAGGGCCTTCTTGCTGTGTCATTACATGGTGGAGGGCAAGTGGTCAAGAGAGCAAGACAGGGCTGAGCTTGGCATTTTATAACAGCACCAATCCCATCCATAAAGGTGGAACCCTGATGACCTAATCACCTCATAAAGGTCCTACATCTTAATGCTATTACAATGCCAATTACATTTTAACATGAGTTTTGAAAGGGACAAACATTCAAACCATAGCAAAAGTCAATCTGAAGTCTACATACTGCATGGCATTCTAAAAAAGGCAAACTATAAATACAGTAAAAAAAAAACATAGGGGTTGGGGTGAAAGGAGAGATTAATAGGTAGAGCACACAGGATTTTATGGCAGTGAAACTACTCTGTATGATATGTGAATATATGTCATTATATATTTTTCCAAACCTGTAGAACGTCCAACACCAAGAGAGAATCCTAAGGTAACCTATGGCCTCTGGTTGATAATGACATGTCAGTGTAGATTCATTAATTGTAACAAATGTACAACTCTGGTAGGGGATATTAATAATGAGGGTGTGTCTTAGTTCAGGCTGCTGTAACAGACTACTATAGACTAGGTGGCTTATGCACAACAGAAATTTATTTCTTACAGTTCTGGGGGTGAGGAAGTCCAAGATAAAGGCACAAGCAGATTAGTTGTCTTGTGAGGACTCACTTCCTGGTTCATCTTTTGACATGGTTTGGCAGTGAACCCACCCAAGTCTCATCTTGAATTGTAACTCCCACAATTCCCACGTGTCATGGGAGGAACCTCAGGTAATTGAATCGTGGGGGTGGGTCTTTCCCATGCTGTTCTCATGATAGTGAATAAATCTCACAAGATCTGATGGTTTTAAAAACTGGAGTTTCCCTGCACAAGCTCTTCTCTTTGCCTGCTGCCATCCATGTAAGTTGTGACTTGCTCCTGCTTGCCTTCTGCCATGATTGTGAGGCCTCCCCAGCCATGTGGAACTGTAAGTCCATTAAACCTATTTTTCTTCCCAGACTCGCGTGTCTTTATCAGCAGCGTGAAAATGAACTAACACATCTATGGTTGTCTTTTCTCTGTGTCCTCACATGGGGAAAGAAGTAAGGGCCTCTGGAGTCTTTTTTATAAGGACACTAATCCTATTCATGATGACCTAATCACCTCTCAAAGGCCCCATCTCCAAATACTACCACACTGGCGATTAGGTTTCAACATCTGAATTTTATGGGAACACAAACATTCATTCAATAACAGGGAGGTTATGCATGTTTGGGGTGGGAGTACATAGAAAATCTCAGTACCTCCTATTCAGTTTTGTTATGAATCTAATCTAATCTAAAACTGCTCCAAAAAATATATTTTGTAAAAATTTTTTATAAAGCTACAGTAACCAAGTTAGATTGGAATTAGCCAACAGAAAAACACAGAGACAATCAAATGCAATAGATAGTATATAAATACACACACATATATATAATGCATAATGTATTTAAATATATATTTAATGTATATATATGTAATTAATTATTGTTAAAGGTTTCAAGGCAATGAGAAGAGTCTTTTTATTAAATGGTGTTGGAACAACTGGATAATCTATATATTTTAAAAAGTGAACATTAAACTTTATCTCCCACAATGCATAAAAATGAATTAAAATAGATCATAGACTTAAATCTTAAACCTAATAGTATGAAACTTCTAGGAGAAACATAGGATAAGATTGTTGTGACCTTGAGTGGAGCAAATATTTCTTGGGTCACGAAATCCACAATTTCTACAAAGTTTTGAAAAAATTAAAACCTCATCAGAATTAAAAGCTCTTGATCTTTGAATGACTGACACCATCAAGATACAAAAGCAAACTTGCAGTTTTGGAGAAAATATTTACCAAACATTCTTCAAACAAAGGACTCTATTTACAACACCGCATATAAAGAATGCTTGTATTCAATAATAAGTCAAATAGCTCAATTTTTAAATAAGCAAAAGATTTGAAAAAAAAACTTACCCAGAGAAAATATAAGAATAAACACATGAAAAGAACCTCATTATGAATACCCCCATTACATGCCT
This sequence comes from Homo sapiens, assembly GCF_000001405.40. Classification (NCBI taxonomy): domain Eukaryota; kingdom Metazoa; phylum Chordata; class Mammalia; order Primates; family Hominidae; genus Homo; species Homo sapiens. The sequence continues at coordinate 155,562,308 of NC_000006.12, read as the reverse complement.
AAAACTAAAAGACTGACAATGCAAAGGACAAGCACGTGGAGTGACTGAAACTCGCATATTCTATTCTGCTGGTGGGAATATAAGACGGTACAACCACTTTGCAAAATGGCTTGCCAATTTTTTAAAAAGCTAAACATATACCTACCATATGGCCCAACCATTCCTTTCCTGGATATTTACTGAAAGAAATGAAAACATATGGCCACACACAACGACTTGTACATGAATGTTCATAGCAGCTTTATCCTTAATAGCCAAAAACTAGATTAAAAAAATGTCCACAAAAGTAAAAGAAAAAAATATGATATGTCTAAACAATGTAATGCTACCCAGCTAAAAAAGGAATGAAATATTGATACACACAACAAATGAATGAATCTCAAAATAATTATGCTGAGTGGAAAAAGACAAAATATGCATATATTGCTCCATTTATAAAATTCTAGAAAATGCAAGCTAACCAGTCATTTCCCAGAGACAGGGGTGCAGGAAGGGATGGATTGCAAAAGAGCATGGGAAAACATTTTGGGTGATGGAAATGTTTGTTATCCTGTTGGATGTTCATTTATGGGTGTCTACATATGTCCAAACTCATCAAATTGTGCAATTTAAATATGTGCAGTTTATTGCATATGAATTATCTTTCAATAAAGTTGGGAAATGCCTGTAAGCTGCATCATCCTAGACTAAAAATAATCCAGTATAGCCAAGATTATAATAATATATATTACAAATATGAAAAAAATAACTAGAGCAAATAATTGTGAGGTATTTGAACTTTGCTCAGCTATGCAAACAAAGTAAAGCCACATGGCCAAAACATTCTACATCAGTGGTTTACTGTTTTGGCTCAGCTTTTACTCCGAAGGTCTATTCAGTTTATATTTCCAATAGGAACACTGCAACCCTGATTCATTCTTCAATTAGAACCATAAGTGTGAGTATAGTAAAGCTAAAGAACTTGGCATCAATTTCCTGCATGGGGAAAAAAAAATCTCTGACAATAACAGCACTTCTATTTAGTGTACAGATGTCAACTTTATTAAACTGAAAACATTCTTGTCCCTCTCCTCCCTCTTCACATTTTCTGGGCAATACTTCAGCTCTAATAAATGATCTATTTCATAATTGCAACCACACAATTAAATGTATCAAACATTTGTAATAAATACAAATTACAAGGGTGAATTCCAGCTCCCTTTGGATTTTTAAAAATAATTTTTGAAATTTTCTTTTTCTGTCACAGATATACAGAATTGTTTATATAAATAAATTACATTTATATAAAATTCTGTTATATTAATTAAGACAATGAGTCTCTTGAGAAAACAGTGGCCAAGGATCAAGCAACTTGAAATTTATTTCAATTTGTATTGTACTGGAAAAGGCAAAAAAAAAAAAAGATTTTCTCATATCCATAACAGGATTCAGTATTCACCGGTCAGACAAACAAATTATTTTATATTGATATGCTAATCAAGTCTCTAGTGCATATTACTCATACCTAGTATATTATATAAATCTTGTTAATGAAGAGGACAAAAATAGCTTAAAGATTGACAATAAAGTGACTTTAAAAATACTGTGACAGTGAGCATGAATGACACAAAAGAATAGATCATTGTGGATCTAAGGCTGTTAGCCATTTTCCTACCTCTAATGTCATCTACTAAGAATTATATCAATAATCAATAAAATGTCTGTACTCTATGACTCCATTTATATGATGTTCAAAAGCAGGCAAAAGTAACGCTGAGAGAAGTCAGAGTAGCAGTTAGGTTTAGGGGCTAAGAATGATCAACTCTGAAGGAACACAGGAAATCTTCTTATGCACTAGAGATATTCTATGTAACCTAATCTCAGCAGGTGACTCTGTCCTTATGTAAAAATCCCTCAAGTTCTATCTTTAATATTAGCATACTTTATGAAAAATATGCCTCAATAAATTTATTTTTAATGAACCAATAAATGGAGAATAAGAATGGCATCAAGCTTCTTGACAACATCAATGAAAATTATTAGGTAATGAAGCAACGCATTCAAAGTCCTCAGGGAAAGTGATGTTTCAACCTAGAATTCTACACTCATCCAAACTATCAATTAATACAAAACTTGGAAAACTTCAAGTTTTACTTCCCATAAGCCCTCATTAGGAAAATACAGGAGGATGTGCTTCACAAAAGTAAGCCAAAAAAGAGAAAGATTCAGGATCCAATAAATGGGATCAACATAACAGAAGAAAGTTAAAAGATTTCTCAAAATAGTAGGAAAATGAAGTGTCAAAACGATAGCTATGTTGCAAGTGTAGGCTCTGCTACCATCCTGATTGGAATAGGAGAGGAGGAGAAGTAGCCTGAAAAATGAAGTTGAAGAAATAATTTTTCTAATACCTTGATCATGGAGCATGGGAGAATAATTGGCAATAAATAAATAAAAAACTAAGCAAAAAATTGCTTTAATGAGGTAATTATTGTTCCCCTTCCCACCTCACAAGAACTTGGAAAGAAAAAGGGAAAAATATCATAGTATACAACTTAGATCAAGAACAAAAAATATTTAGTCATAATATAAATATTGAATATTGATTTAAATGAAAACAGATATAAAATATATTGGTAAGGTAGCCAATGAGAAAGTGTGTGAAGCTAAATCCTCATCTGCCATTATAGGCAGTCAATAGGTAGTAACAAAATTGATGAATGTAAATGGATGTTTAAGCATATTATTTTGAATTTTAATGTTAAAAAGCAAAAAAAAAAAGTTTGAATATAGTTGTCTTTCGGTAGTATGCCTAAAGAGTTAGGGAAAAGAATTGCTATTTTTGGTTGTTGGTCTTCTAGTACTATTTCACTTTTAAAACATGTTAATATAATCCTTAATTGTTAGAAAATAAAAACTGAAAAGTTAATATTTTGAAAGGGTTAGTTTTACCACATGGTCCTATGGGTGAGTATGTAAAACTTACTTGGAACAAGGACTTCTTTTGTTATTTAAAGTATTGCAAAGTATAGGAAAATACAGTAAGTTTTCAAATTTGTCACAATAGTATAATCTTCAAGAGAAAATTTTAGTTATGAATACAGATGCAAATTTGAAATAAACTATTACCAAATTAAATAGAGAATTATATAGCAAAAGGATTTATTCCAAAATGATTCAACACCAGCATTTGGTGTTGCTTATTATACTTAAAACTTTAAAGAAAAATTAATATAACCACATGAAGAAAATGTTATAGCCCCTTATTAATTAACAAAAACAAGTAAAACAAAAATTCAAGAATACTTGTCTATACAAAATAAAGTACATTTTTCAGAAACTAATAGCCAATGTATATTTAATGGGAAGTGTGACAATATACCCATAAGTTCAGTGCACTGCTGTGACATAAGAAATCAGAACGGGGTACCCATTACTCGCATTATTATTTAACATTGTTTTAGAGGTGCTAGCTGATTCAAAAAGGCTGAGAAATAAAGTCATATAAATACAGAAAAGTGAGAAGAGAATAAATCATTATTTGCAGCTGAGACTGTATACCCAGACAATCTAAAAGACTCAAAATCATTATTAATGATATGGTTAATAAGATGGTGTCAGGAGACAATTCATGGGTCTCTCACATTAGTGTGTGTCTTGCAAGCAGAGGCACTGACTGTAAGCAGAGCTTTTATTCCCAATTATCTTTACATGGATAGGGGTATAGCAAACCCCCATGGAAGACAGAGATGGTATCTCTCTCTGGAGCAGAGAGCAGATTTGCTAACTACCCAGTAAAATAAAGATAATGTCTCTCTATAGCAAATTTCATGCAGATTTGCTTGCTGCTTGTTATAAAAATTTGGGTTCCTTACCCTCATAATTTCTCATCCATGATGCAAACCCACTGTGTGCTCAGCATTCACCTGGGCCAGTCAGATGTCTCCTACAGGACTTGGGGACAAAGGAGAACTGACATGAACAGGAAGCTCATGCTGCTTGCTGTGGTGTGAATAGTAAAGGCCTTTGCCTGTGACCCAGGAACAGTGAATTGGGGAGCTAAGTTTGCAGGGACAAGGTAGTGTGAGTGTCTGGTGACACCTGGAAGATACAGAGACCACCCATGCCCAGGAGACACCCAGCTGGGCATCTGTTTCTCTACTCTTTCTGAAGGTGTCCCAGTAAGCCTCAGTCAAGTAGTCTGCCCCTACCTAGCCAGCAGGGTGTGAAAACAGATGAAACAGTGCTCTGACAGGGTATCTCAAGCTAAAAGATGAGTAATTAGCATGGAATACCAACCGATGTATAAAAACTCATTCCATTACAGAGGATAACCATTTCAAGAAAATGAAAGATGTACATGCAGAAAGAATTTATAGACAAACAGAACAAGAGGTTAGAACAAATATACTGAAGAGTCTCATATTTGTGAGACTATTATTTTAAAATTAAGTAAAACACATTAAATTTAGAGGCTCAATAGTTAAGTGATCAGTTGAAGAGAAAAATATTGATTTGGAAGACTGAGCCAACAAATTATTTCAGAGTGCCAATAAAAAGACTAAGAGATTAAAATTATAAAATAAGATGCAAGAGACATGAAAGGCTGGTCTAGAATTCCAAATACATATTTCGTAGGATTTCTGACTGGGAAGAATAGAAATAATGGAGTTTAAAAATATTCTAAGAAATAATAGAGAAAATGCTCCAATTACTGAGGGAAAAAATTAATTCTCAGATTAAATTGACTCATCTAGTCTTGAGTAGAAGTAACTGAAATACACACACACACACATCCTAGACACATTCTTGTCAAATTTCAGATAGTTATGAATGAATAGAACATCTTAAGTGCTTTAAGAAAAACAAAAAATACAAACAAAAATTAGAGTGACAAGGTCTTCTCATCAGCAATGTGAGAAAACAAAATCCTAAAAAAATTTTCAAATCTCTTAGGAAAAACGATTTAGAACCCAATAATCTACACTAGACAAGCCATTAATCATGTATAAAGGTAAATAATGATTTTTAGGTGTTCAAGGACTCATAAAATATATACTCATACATTCTGGGATAAGTACTTGGTGTTATATTCTAGACAGAGACTATTCCAGAAGGCAGATATAGTATAATTATACTGGGAGGAGGTCACATCAACATAGAAACATCGACATAGGAGAAGGAAAATAGAATTTGTGTATTGAACTAAGGATAACAACTAGAAAAAGAAATGAAATATGTAACTTTTAAACTAGTAAACACACACAATGGAACAAAGAAAATGCAATCAATTCAACATAGAACCCTAGAATGGAAAGAATAAATAGAAAGTAAGACGACAGGTGATTGGTACAGGTCTAAACTTACAAGAAAGCGTAACTGTGAATGGGTTAAGTTCATCTATTAAAAGATAGAGGCTCTATAATGTTTAACATCTAGCTATGTGCTTTTTATGAGGTACACCTAAATCAACATGGTGAAAATAATAGTAAAATAAAGGAAATATCAGACAAATGCCTTAAAAGAGAGAAAGAATAAATGAAAGAATATGAAAGAAGGCAGATGTGGCAAGAGTAAATAAAAGGGTAACAAAGTGAAAAGAGACAAAAGGGATACTTCATATTGAAAAAGGGAAAACTTTGCTTAGAAAATGTGACAGTCATACCATCTATGAACTTGTCAATATTTCTTTAAATATTCGAAGCAAAAATGATAAAACTATCAAGAAGAAATTGACAAAACTACAGCCACATTCATGATGAATTATCTTACCTCCCTCAGCCACATTAATGATGGATTATTTTATTCAAGAAGAGAAAAAAAGAAATAGAGAATTTGAATTATACAATTAACAAGCAAGATAAAAAAGTTTATAAAGAACTTTCTATCTAACATACAAAGAATATATGTTTTTTTTCAAACACCCATAGAACATTCACAAAAACTAATCACACAGTAGGCTATAAAAGAAAGGACAAATTCTAAAAGTTTACTGTTATATAAGCATTTATATAACATTATTTTTAATTATATAACATGTATCGATCACAGTGAAAGAAAATGAAAAACAAACAGAGCTGAATACGACAAAACAAGAACACAACGTATCAAAATTTAAGGAATATATATCAAAAGTAGTGCTCAGAGGAAAAAACAGTTTTTAAAGGAATTTATTAGGAATTAAGAAGCAAATGATTATAAGTGACTATAACAAAATGACTATAAGCTTTTAATTGAAGAATCCAGGTAAATTCCCCCAAAAAGTAGAAAGAAAGGATCATTAAAGGCAAAGACAGAAATTTAAAATGTAGGAAAAAAATTAGTTGATCAATAAAACCCAAAACTGGATGGAAAATATGGCGTTAGGATTAGGCCTGTCTTTTGATCTCCCAAAACCACCACGAAAATAGAGCAGAGCCAAAGATGCACGATGCTAGGTGACAGCTGTCTGACGAACCCCCAAAATGCCTAGGGACAAACCACTGACAGTTACGAGACTGCAAGGTGTCTGGGTGGGAGGGAGCAGTGAGAACATAACTGGGCTTCTTTCTCACAAGCCTCCAAACCAAGAGACACACAGCCAAGCTCAGCATGGACACCTAAGGCAGCCGCCGAAGCCAGGAAGGAGAGAGCTCCTGGACCCAACTCACAGGGGTGTACAAGGGCACACATTGAAAAAGGTCTGAAGTGTTGGGCCCATTTAGACCTTAAAACACACAAAACTAGCTAACCAGAGGTCCATTCCGAGACAAAGCCTTACACTGAAGAGAAATTGCTGGGAGTAAAATCCAAATTGAGCAGGAGAAGGACAATAGAAGCAGGGAAGGGAAGGTCCATGTGAAAGTTGGGAAGGAAAGCCGTGAAGGCGGATCTCAGAAAGGATGAGGCTAGGGTTTTTTCCCCATCATTTTTAGAAGATAAAAGATTTCCAAAACTATGAAGCTAAAAAAAGAAAAAAAAAAAAGCTTCCTTTGCTCACTGCTCCACTGCTCCTTCATTTCTATAAGTAAAAGATTACCAATGTTACTTAAAATATGAAGAACAAGAAAGAATTTCAGTCAAATGCCACATAAAGTTATTCTAAGCAAAAAGGGAGCAGGATGGTGTCTTTATCGGCAACGAAAACATGTCAGAAAGACAAGCCCAGCAGGTAAAACTGTAACCTCCTATTTTAACACAAAGCACCGCCAGAAGCTATGAAAGAACAATATCATCCAAGTTGGAAAAACTCAGCAATGAAGAGATTTTAGAAAATGAAGTGTTACAAAGAGGTGGCAACATTTACGAAAGACAATTTTTTTAAAAATCGTACCAAAAATGAAGATAAACTAGAAAGAGCACAAGAGCTAGTAAACATAAAGGATAATGCCTTAAAAGAAACAGAAGATGGAAAGGAGAAAATTTTTAATGATATGGAGATATGAGCAAATAGATAAAATATAAAAGATATGATGAAAGAGAAATAGGAGTTGAAAGAAATGAAGAGATTTGGACTATATGTAAAGAAAAGCTAACATATGTATAAAGAGGGTACCCAAAGACAATGTGACAAGTGAAAAAATTGTAATTCTAGAGTTTTCTGAAATAAAAGATGACTTCAAGCTATATATTAAAGAGCCACCATATGTCTTTGGAGCCTAGCCTAAAATGGTCAAAACTAAGACAGGATCTAGTCAAACATTAGACATTTTTGAAAGGAAAGAAAGCTCTTTGGGCATCCAGGCAAAAAAAGCCACATCATTTATCTGAAAAGACATCAGACTTTGGCAATATCTCTTTATCTGTAGAACTAAGGCTAAAGAATAGTTATAGAGAAGATGGTTTAATACAAAATGGCTTTGCTAGTTCTTTTAATATATTCTCCTTTTTCTTAGTTTTGATTTTGGAACCAGATAAAATTTAAAATTTAACTTGAAGGTATCATTACAAACTTATGACCAATTTATTTAAAAACATATTTTCTAGCTCTTTCTACTGAAAAGACTTAGCAATAATGACCAACTCAGTAGCAAAAAAATCCCTAACGCCAAACTGTCTTCCTTAAATTTATTTTTCACTGAAAAACAGACAGACAAACAAACAAAAACCAAAACAGTGTTCCTTGGACAAATATGGCCGATATCAGGCCAGGGACAGCAAATATAGAAAATGCACCATACTTATACTAGAAAAATAAAGTTACCAAAGTCCACAAGGCCCATGTCAAAAGGATTTAGAATCCAACCTGAATATGCTCCCACAGGCTAATGGTGAGACAATCAGACTCTCAATAATAATTGCAATCAATTGAAACACCCAAATATGTTTGTAAACGTATGATATGTTTTAAAACTCATTGTTCACTTTCACAAACTCATTATTTTGAAAACTGGTAAATAAAGTGAAAGAATCAAATATTTATCCTGCCTTCCCTGCAGGATCTAACCTCAGGGTAATCATAGAGGATCCCCAATCCTTATCAGCAGCCGGTAACATCATACAAAGAGGAGAGCCAGGTTCTTCCCCATTACACAGTAGTTTCGCCAAAGTTTAAAAAAATAAAACTGAGTCTAGTCAAACCCTTAAATCTTACTGCAATTTACAGGGTATAGAAGGGACAGAGGAAAATGTTAAATGGGAATACAATGGGCAAAATCACAAATGTGAGAAACTCCATAGGACAAACCATGCAAATTGTTTAATAGGTGAATTGCAGCAAAAGAGAGAGAAGGAGAGATAGTACCCATAGATTAAAGAAAATTTAAGATACACATCAAGCAATTGCAATGGTGAGTTTATTTGGTTTCTCATTCAAACGTGTATGTGAGAGCATGTGCGTGTGTGCATGCACACACGTTAGATCATCTGAAAATCTGAATACTGTAAAGATTTGACAGTAAAAATTATTATTATCCATATTTAGATGTGATGTTATTGTTGGGATGTATTTGTAAAGTGTTAGCAATTGTGTAGAGATACAAACTACAAGATATGCATTAAATGTTTATATTTGCAATGATATGTCTGTAGAGGTATAAATGAAACAAGATAGTTCATGTTGATAACTGTTGAAGTTAGATGATGGATACACTGGATTCAGTAGCTATTCTCTCTGTATTTGCATATGTTTGAAATTTTCCCCAATAAAAGTGCTTTTTTGGAAAAACAGGTAAGCACAATCAGGACAAAACTTTTTTCAAAAGGACAAAGAAAACTTAGGAATGAAAAGGGAAACTATGTAAGGGTGATGTTTAAAACTATAAGTACAAATGTATTAATAAACTTAAAGGTAATTTAAATTAGTAAATTTCTCAAAGTTGACTCAAGAATAGAATCTTGGTTAGACCATTCCTACTGAAGGAATTAAAACCATAAAGCTATAACTTCCTGGGAGAACTACTAGACATGGCTATCTTTATGGTAGAATTCTAACAAACTTTCAAGGAACAGAAATTTCCCATCTTATAGAATATTTTCTAAATCAAAGAAAAATATGGACAACTTCCCTAATCAATAACTTTTCTACCATAAATGTACTACATTAAATAATATTAAGACTCAAATTAAATTTTTTAAAAGACTGAAGTGCCCACTGTCAATGGTACTATTCAGATATTCCAAAAAAATGCAAAGGCATAAATATCAGAAAGGAAGAAGACATATCATGATTTGAAAATAATTTTAAAATTCAAGAAAATCAACTAACAATTAGAATAAGAGTTCAGAAATGTAGGCAACTGAAAATTCTCACAGCCAAATCAATTTCTCCCATCTACCAAGAGGTAAATTTGAGATGTGAAATAGAAACAATTAATTACTTTCAATACTTCAAATTCATTGAATTATTTCACGGAGTATGTATTTCTAACTAATACAAATAACTGAATTTCTTATTTAAGACCAAAGCATTTAGTGATGTTAAAAAATGAACACTAAAAAATCCGAAGCTGGAAAAATGAAAAGAAATAAACAAATTTAGGCAGCACTGAAGATGATATCACGGGTATACATTTTATGGAATGTGCTTTGATCCCTTTTTGAAAATCAACTATATTCAGCCATTTTTTCTCTTCCTCTCATCTTAACCATTCTCCTTCCAGCACTTAAACTGTAAGCAATAGTTGATGCTGCCTAAACTGTGCCTGCAGACATTCTATAACTAGCTTTTCTCTTTATTCTCCATACATAGTAATTTTTAAACTCTTCTACCAAGACGTCCAGTAACCAAATATTCCCAAGAGACTGAGAGTAAGGTTTTAAAATTTAGCCACAATGACAAAATATCCTTCAGTAGCATATCTTATCTTAAAAGGTATTTAAATTTTGTATTATAAAACCTATAACTATAGTTTAATATAAAATTATTTAAATTACCTAAACTACTCAACATCCCCCCACCCCCCGACACACAAAACTGTAATATAAAGTACCACTAAGAAAACTGGCCACATTCATCCCATAGCTTCCTGTATCCACACTGCCAAACCCAGGGTGAGAAGCTCTACTTCTATCCTCAGAGCTGAAGCTCTTTTATCAAACAGCATATCCTGTTTTCTCCCAATCTCTTTCTTTTTCCTATGTCCTCTTTCTAAATGTTTTTTAAATTGGCCTTAAATAAATGTTTGTTGGGTTTAATTTAGCGGGATTTTTTCCTTGCTTTTAGTACTCCCAACAGCCCGATTATCCCAGCCTGTAAGACACTAAGAAGGTATATTTAGTCAGATTTTTAACATTTGGGTTTTTTTTTTTTGTTTTTTTTTTTGTTTTTCCCCCAGAAACAGCCTCATCTACAACTAATTAAGTGGTAAGCCAAGGCTAGAATGCAGAACTCCTCACTTGCAGTTTCATGCTCTTAACACAAGACCAAATTCCCTCCCTGGTCATTTGCAAAGGTGTGGAGAAGGCATGTATCATAGAAAGGAGTTATAAACTTGATCACCTCTGGATAACTTGAGCATGAAAGATTTATTAAAAGGATATTAAGAGCTCATAGAATTGACAGGAAGGCTGAGGACACAGGATTGAAAACAAGAAGGAGGGAAGAAGCACCAAGATGCTGCAGTAAGAGCTCCCAGGGTGTTGCACTGTCTGGCACCGGTGGTTTGTCAGGATGCTGCCTGAATGAATGAATGTGTGTGCCAACTGCATCCTGTCTGCTCACCCCCAGGAACCAGCCGAGCTGGCCTGGAGGGGTCACTTCTCTACTCCTTGGCTAGGAGAGCACGGCACACCTGCTTAAGGATTCTAAAAAAAGTGCTGCTAGTGAGTGGGGATAGATGCTGTGAGGCAAAATAAATAAAAACAACCCCACCCCACCCATTTCACAGAGGTATTGTGATGAGGGAATTAGGAAACATCTGTAAAAATGCTTCGTAAAGTATAACAAGCTCTACAGAGGCATTATGATTGTTATTTCTTCTTCAAGGTAGCATTTTAGTAACTCCATTTAAGACCTTCTCTCCAAAGGTGAAATTTTCAGGCAGGTTAATGAAAGAAATGTTTTTTCATAGAGGAGGAAAACTCTATTTGGCTCTTGTTAGATCATACCAAAGAAATATTTTAATCTGTGGTCATCTTACTGGTGAGACAGGCTTTGAATATGCGGCGTTACATCTAGCCCCATCCACTGGGAGGTGAGGAGACACTGCTTCGGGCCAACTTAACGGGGAAGACCGCTCATCACCGTGCTTTTACACTTTGGCTGGGAAGGATATGAGTTTGCTCTTTACAATCAGGACTAAAATATAAATACAGTCCTGTTTAACATGCTTAGACCTAACGTACACGGGAGCCTTGCCACAAATGTTGCATTAAAAATCTTTCTCTAATGGTGAAATTTCCAATAAATACATTTGAATTTGTTAAACTCTTTCTAAATGACATTGAAAATTTACTTGACTTACAAACCAAATGTCATTCTCTAACAAAGCTTATTAAAGCTTATTAAAGTACCTACCGTGTACTGGTCATCCAGAGAACATTGTGAATTGCAGGATGGTGCTTGAAAGAGCTGCCTCCAGTATCAAATGAGTTAAAATTTCCGCAAAAGAAAGGAAGGGATCAAACAACCTTTGTTTGTCTTTGATATGTGTGTTAATATCCTATTGCTTCTATAACAAATTACCTCAAAATTAGCAACTTTCAGTTCTGCAGTTTGAAGTCCAAGTTGTCATGACTGGTTTCTCTACCTCAGGGTTCACAAGGCCAAAGCTGGGATGTCAGCTGGCCATGCCTTCACTGGGAGGCTCTGGGAAGAATCTGCTTCCACGCTGAATCAGGCAATAGATACAGTCCAGTTCCTTGCGGTTGTAGAACTGAAGCTCCATTTCCTTGTGGGCTGTCAGCTGGGAGTCACTCTGAGCTTCTGAAGGCCTCTCTCCAGCCCATGCACACGGTTCCTGCATCTCAGAAGAAAAATGTGCAGAATCCTTCTCATGTTTGGGATCTCTCTGCGTTTATCTTCTGCCATATCTCACTGACTCATTCTCTCTTCTGTAATCCTCTTCTACTTCCAAAGGCTCATGTGATTACATTGGGCCCACCTGGAGAATCTTTACCTTAAGCTCAGCTAATTAGTAACATTAAATACATCTGGAAGTTTCCTTCACAGCAGTGCCAACATTGGTGTTTGGTAGAATAGCCAGGGGACAAGAATACTGGGAGAACGTGTTTAGAATTCTACCTACTACAATATATCTTTAGGCAGTGACCAGGAACTCTAAAAACTGGAGCGTTGGAAATCATTAAATTGCTACAAAATATCACAAGTCAGCAATTCAGAATGATTGTTTTACAGATTATAATCAGAAATGACCCAAGAATTTTTACAATTTTTAAAGACCATCATGAGAGCAATATCAGGCTTTAAAGTCCCTAGTTGTATCAGATATAGAAGGCATTCCTTAAACATTTCAAATGTACATTTTCAGTCACAGCTCATATCTATTTCTTAGATACTAGTTTAAATTCTCTATTAGGTTTTATGGAATATTGTTTCCAAGGATTTGAGTATATTCAAAATCTTAAATTTGGTTATATTTTACGTTATAGTCCTAAACAACAATTAGTGCATAGGGCGGAATCCAGACTCCTCGTTTTTTTCCCACGTGGAATTCTCAATACGGTCACAAACCCACGTGTTAATCAGTAAAATCAGCTAATAGGTATTGAAGACCCACCAGGCAAACAGCCCCATTTCTAAGCATTCAGGATTATACAGTATATAGAAATCGAGAATCTGTTCCTGCCTTAAAGAATTCAGAAACCAGGAAAATATATGATCCACAGGAAGAGTGCATTCAAATAAGCATCATAATATTAAAATGTATTAAAAAGGATGTTAGATTTTGGGAATGTTACAGCGGGTTGCAAAAGAAAAAAAAAATAGGATGAAGTTTCCTTAAGTAGGTAAGTCCACAGCTGATTCTGGGACAGAGAAATTCTCGTACTGCTACTAAGAGATTGTTTTTTGTATGCCGAGGGCTTCTTAAGGAGAGGAGAGCCACCATAACTGACGTGCAACTCGAAGAGCTGGCTGGAAGAAGGAGCCTGTTTGATGGAACACTTTCAAGTCTATTATTAGAAGATTGTATTTGATTCTGAAGACTGTGGGATTCTCTGGCAGACTTAGGAAAAACAGGGGGATATAATCAAGGCAGCAGGCCTGAAATAGAGATTTATCACACAGTGCAAAATAACTTTAAAAAAAAAAAACAGACTCTGAAAGCAAGCAAGGAGGAAGATAGGATAATCTAGTAACAATTTTCCAATGGTCAAGAGATTCTGCTGGGGTGATGGTGGCAAGTAATTTGATGGTTCTGAGTGGAAATAATGATAGCAAATGGACTTAGAAAAATTGAGATGGAATTAGAACGCAATGCTAGAAAAATATTAGTGCGTACCCTGTGGTTTCAAGGATGTTTATTTTATAAGATGTTCAAATACTCCTACTAACTCTGAGGTAAATACAGGTTTTTTATTCAATAGGTCTAACATACAAAGGACTTTATCTTTGTAATTTTTTCTATATACAATCCACAACTCCATGTTTTAAAAAAACATGCTCTATGTATAATTTCCACTATTTATATCTAATCCACACGGAACCAGACAACATTTCTCAAAGTGGTTGGCTGCTAAACTGAGTCTGAAGGCTGGATAGGAGGAAACACCTCTTGGAGGAATGACATGATCAGATCTGAGTTGTATAATAATCCTCCAGGGTGAACAGTGGACAGGAATGAGGGGCCTAGATTGGTAGCTGGGTGGCTGATTAGGTACAATCAAGGAAAAGCGTGATGGCAGCTTGGACTATGGTAGCATCAGTGACAATGGAGGAAGAGGATTAAATTGAGAGATGTCCAGGAGACAGAATAAATTAAATAGAGCTTGGTGATTGGCTGGAAGTGGGGGAATAGTGAGGAACAGGGAGCCATCCAGAATAAGCCTTAGGTTTCTGGATTTAACTACTGAGATCAATTTTATGGGAGGATAAGTTTGGGGGCAAAATAATGAGTCTGAGAAATGTTCAATGTGAGACACCCTATGATATATGCAAGTGGAACTGTCTTAGTTAGAAACCTGGTGGGCAGTTGGCTCCATGGGGCTGGAATTTCATGGAGAGGCCCAGAGTCTCAGGCATAGAGGTTGTGACTGAGGTGAAAGGAGTGGATGCAATCACACTGGGAGACCATGGCGAGCAAAAAGACACACAAACCCAGGCAGAAACCCAAGGGACATTAGCACTTAAATATGCCATCTCTGCTGTGGTCAAGTGGAACAGCAGGAAAGATAGTGGGTATCTCAGACAGGAGTCATTGGCTTCTCAGGATCACTTTTCCCCGAAGTTCTCAGGAAATGAAGCAGAGTGAGTTAATGCATTTATCCAACACCTACTTTTGTCCCAGACACCATACAAGGCCCTAAGAAACATGCTCTGAATCCCTAAACTGGATATTAACCTCCAGAATGTTGCTCTCAAGATCCATTTTATGAAGCTGTAGGTTAATCACACAGTCAATCTCAAATCAAAAGTTCTGTTTGGGGCCAGATGCAGTGACTCACACCTATAATTCCAACACTTTGGAAGGCTGAGGCAGGAGGATTGCTCTAGGCCAGGAGTTCGGGACCAGCCTGGGCCACATAGTGAGACCCCCGTCTCTCCAAAACATTTTTAAAAAATTATCTGGGCATGGTGGCATGCACCTGTGGTCCCAGCTACTAGGGATGCTGAGGCAGGAGGATCCCTTGAGCCCAGGAGATCGAGGCTGCAGTGAGCTGTGATTGCACCACTGCACTCTAGCCTGGGAGACAGAATGAGACTCTGTCTCAAAAAATAAATAAATAAATAAATAAAAAGTTCTATTTGGGACAGGTACTCTCAAAGGTCATTGTTAGTAATAAGGAACTTCTGTCATGAGCATAAATTTGCTATGTACTTCGGGGTGTCTTTTGTAGCTAACTTTTCAGGAGTATTATTTAAAATTCACATTTTTGGGTGGTTCTTTTTGGATTTGATAATTGATTAATAATATTTGCTCTTAAAAATATCTAGGTCATTTTAACTCTTTTATACTTTGTGGTTGTGAGCTGTGGAGTCTCAGCCAGGCATCCAGCCAGGCATTTCCCTTTTGAGAACATTTGGACACTAAGCCTAGATACCCCTACAGTCCTCCTGGGAACAACTGGATTACCACTATTGTGGCCAGCAAATATGAGTTTATCTTTTCATAATTAAATGCCAGTCTTATTACCCACCTTTTAAACATGAAAAGCATGTGCAGATCGCTTCCCTCATAGTAACATCTCAAACGTGTCTAATGTCGTCACAAAACATTTTCCCATACAAAGGCACTTGTAATCATCACAGTAACATGTTAATGCTGCCTCTGTTTTAGAGGAGAAGGTTGGGATTCCAGAAGAGTGATTGCCATCACCCAGCGAGCAGGTGGCAGAGTGAGAGTCTGATTCTAGATATTTAGCTCACAAATTAATTATTGTTCAAACTAAACCAATATTCGAAGCACCCAACATATGGCATCCAACAATATTCATTCTCCACAGTAGCTGTATTATTTTAACTTTTGGTGTCATTTTCCCCTTTTATGTGTTTCTAGTCCTTCTTCTTGGCCTTTTTTATTAATCTTTTATGTGATTTAATTATGTTTGCTTTAAATCATTTTTTCAAAAAGGTGCATAATCATAAATAAATTAGTAAAAAGACAGACACATACACAGATAATAAATCTGAGCCTTGCTGATTCCTCTGGCAATAACAAAATTCAAATCATGTTTAGGTGACAAAGGAAGAAAGTGAAAAATATAGACATGAACCAGATTTTCACACAGCCTCAATAAGGCACTTACTCATTTCTGCTAATGAAGACAATTCCCCAATTAAAATTAATCCTAATCAAGAAAATAATCCCTACTGCTCCTGCTGGCAAACCCAAGCCCAGAGGATCCTCCCATCTCCTCTCTATATTCAGAAACATGTAGCAAAGCAATTTGGAAGGCCTGGTGAATCTGTAATTTCAAAAGAGAAGAAGGGAAGAAGCTATGATCACAGAGGCAAGATAGGGAATTGCTCCAAATATCAACACCCACCCACCCTCTGCCCATTAATAAAACCAATTCTTTGTTCACTTGTCCAAAATTATTCCTCTTACCTATGCTACTTGCCTAGCTCCTTTCTCATTTCACTTATTTTCATTATCCAAAATTCTACCACTTATAGATTATCACTAATAGTTAATATTTCTTTTGTATAAGAGTAAATGTTCCTGGGATTCATTCATTCAACAGATACTTATTGACATCTACTACACGCTAGGCACTATGCTAATAACTGACAATATAGCAACAAAAAAGACACATTCAGGATGATGATATGTGATCAGCCGTTCACAATTACCAAAATAAAATTATTTACATTAATTTGCTTTTTCTTTACTGGCATTCCTGTGAAATTGTTTTCACTGAGGGAGAAGACTATTGTATCTATAAGAAGAAAAATAGGCGGTTTGGGAATGTGATTTGTCAAATCTGACTGTCCTTCCCTGATTAGAAGTGGGCTAGTTGCCCATTTATTTTCTTCTAGCCCCACATTCACCCCTCAGTCCCTGTGCTAGGATAAAGGACTAGACTCTAAACATTTCTCTTTTATGGAGCCTGTTGTTAAGCTCTGTCAGTAGAAGGCACTTGAGGGACATTGCAGGAGAAAGGGGCTCCTCTCGCTGGCTCTGTGTCCTGGGTTTTTTGCTTGGTTGTTTGGTTGGTTGGATTTTTGCTGCTTCTATGGTGTTGCAGGTATTTGCAGGACACTTAGTGCTGCTCTGCCTCAGAGTTCACAGTCCCTTGGTGAACTCACAGCCCTGGCCTGAGTCCAGTGATCACTTCCTTTCAATCCATCCAGTGCAAGCACCACACACTCCCAGCCTCCTGCTTTCAACAGCACTTCATCTTCCTCTGTATACCTGCCCACCAGCCCTGCCTCATCCACACTGCAGACAGTTAGAACACCCTTGACATGCCTGTACTGCAGAAGGTTGCTTCCTGTTTTCCCAGTGATGACTGAACCAGCTCAGGCTTGGGCCATCCAGAGAGCTTCTCCACCGTCCAGCGGCTGCAACCACAGCTTTTGCAATGAGGTCTCAACTCCAGCTTTGGGGAAGGGGTATTCCTAACTTTGTTCTTTCTGAGGTACTCTTCTTCAGCCCTAGGGTGACCTTTAGAGTTCTCTTTACACCGTCACAGTTAGTCTCTTATCATAGCTTAATAATTTGTTACATTAAATTTCTACTCTTTAATCTAGTGTGCGGTTTCTCTCTCCCAACTGGATTTAAACTGATACAAGGGCCTTTTGAGACACGACACCAGGAGAGTGGTCAATGGTGAAAGAAGGAATAGAAAAAGAAGCCAACTGAAAAACTTCAGCAATTGCAACAGTTTACACAGAGCTAATCCCAACCTTAGGAAATGAATCCTCTTCCTTCTCCCCATCCACATTGTCCTCTCCCAATTGTATCTTAATTTTAAGACCCAAACTAGAGGTTAGGAAAGAGTTAGCCTTGAAATCTCACCACTTTTTTTAATCACTGTTTTGTTTTGTTTGCAAAACCTGTTTCAAGTTCCAAGTAATTGACTTATAAACTTTTAGCAAAGAGGGGCATTAGGAATGTGGATATTCCCTGTTATGGTTACCACATTTTGAAAATCGTATTTAAATATTAAATTCTTAAAAGTCAGAGGAAAAGAAAACTGACAAGACAGTATGGGTCAGTAGAAGTGTGGCCTTCTGCATCATGTAAAAAGATTTTCATCCCAATTCCTCCGCTTACCAGCTGGTGATCTTGAACACATTATCCCTTGGGAATCTGTGTCCTCAACTATGAAATGGAAAGAATGGCATCCACCTCCCTGGTTTTCTGTGGGAATCAAATATTATCATGTAGTAGGTGCTAGTCAATAAACACTGTTTGCCTTCCCCCTTTCCCTTTTTATTTTAAGTGAATTCATTGTTTTCAATCCCAGAGAAGATATTTCTTTTCCTGGGATCTACCGAAACACAGGGGCTGCTTGAGGCATTATTTCTGCCTTTACAAGTTTGCCCTGTGAAATTCATTCTTGAGGAGCAGCAAGTTAAAAGAGTTCCACGTCTTTGATGTGGCCTCTTCATTGGCAGCCTGAGCCAGCTGGAACTGCCAACGCTGGTTCACTGAGCATCTAAAAAGCTAGTATCAAGGAAGTCCCTCTTCACACAAAGGGTTTTAGGCTGGATATTATTTCAATGCTCCAAACACAATGTTATACATATTTTCCTTAGTTGCTTTGAGTTCAATAAAAATTTCTGTTTCATACGAGACTATATGGCTTATAAGGGAGAAAGAAGTTCCAATCTTTCCTACAGGAAATCTGTTGGAGGCAGAGCTCATTCATCTCGTAGAGTAGACAGAAAGGCTGAGAGGAGTTACAATGAAGTGGCAATGAAAAATATGTCAGAAATGTTATTCGAGAAATGCTCAGAGACTTGGCTCACAGCCCAATTAGGATAGAACAAAGATATATATAACCTACTTAAGCTAAAGAATTCTTAATTAAGCTACTGGAAAGCCAAGGGTTTTAAAGTTCAAAGAATATGTAGACTTCTGCAAATTCCTTTCAGAGAAGGGGACAGGAGAAGGAATTCATAGGAGTGACAGACATAAATAAAATCCCAATGAAACATTCACATAATTGAAGCCCCCCCCAAAAAAGAGGAATCGAGTTTTGTATAATTTTCTTCTTTGTTTGTATGTTGGCTTATCTTTTATGATGAAGGAGGTTGCATTGAGTATTTCTTCCTAGAAAAGCACACACACATAATATTTATTAATAATTAAGCTTGGGTTTGAGAAGTTGTAAATAATTACATTTCTGAGTAACAATAGTTCGTAATTGATTTGAACTCTTTCAAGAAATCTGCATATCTTGGAATACCCAAGTGCCAAGACTGCTCTGATGTGGCAAAAGCTACCCCTGGTTTCCAACTTGCATATTCAGATTTTCCTTGGTAGGGCTTGGTAGTATTATTATGAGTTTTTACTTTTTTTTTTTTTTTTTTTTTTACAAAGAATAAATAGTGATGACAATAGAAATAATAAAATAACCTCCTGCATCTTTTGGTCACCAAAGTCTACATCTGCTGCCCTCTCCTGATCCTTGAGTCCAATTCCTCTTCATCCCCACAACCAGTGGCTTATTTCAGATTCAGCTCCTGGACTGTTTTAAAAGCCTCCTGTAGAATTTCCCTGCCTCCAGTCGCCTCCTAGACAGAGCCATCGTATTGAATACAACACTACTTACATTATCCCCAGCTTATAGTCCATCAATAGCTATCCATTGCTAAAGGATTGAGCCTAAACTCATTCATGTGTGTCTAGGGCCCTTCACCCCATGGCACCATCTGTCTTCCCATCATCACCTCCTGACACTCTTGCAGATGCTTTCTATACCCCACACTGAATTTTTTCACCGCATATACACAGGCCTATACACAGGCTCTTCCCTGCCTGGGATAACCACATAACCTTGCTTCAAGGCAAGCTAGCAATTGGCACTGTGTCAAATTGATATTAATCCAGAGAAAAGACTGAAAGCTTTGTGGGGTAAGAGCTCATCCGAATAACCATCTAGTAGTTAAGCAGACCCGTCTCCTAGGAAGCCATTTAGTGGCCATCTGTTGTTACACGAGCATTGCCCTTGGGAGTCTTACTCTTCTTCCCAGTCAGCTTTTCATAGCATTCCTTATGACTACAATCAGTGTTCTCCCTGGGAGGAGTTCTAATAAATACAATCTTTTAATTGTTAAGTGATGTGTTAGCATCCCATATAGAATGGCATCCTTGAAAGCTGCCCATCTGATCAACCTCCTTATCTACAATGACAAATTCTCACCCATCCTTCAAGATTCAATTAACACGTCACCTCTGTGAAGATTTCCTTACCTAACCCCCAACTCTGTCACAGAATTAATTAATTTAATAGACACTTTAAAAGCACTATATTCCAGGGCTTCATGATTTCTACTCTAAGTGCTTTTCAAATATTATCTCATTTTTTTCATTACCGCAACAACTCTACAAGCTACATGCTATTATCTGTGCCTCATTTATAGGCATGAGCCCTGTCAGAAGGCTAGTAAACGGGAGAGGTGAGACCCAAAGCCCAGCAGACAGGCTCCAGACTAGCTCTAACCCTGTCTGCTTAACTGTGTGTTTAGTTTATTTTCCACTCTTCTGCCAGAGCCTCTGATGATTACCTCTCTTATATAGCTCATCTGATCATATACTATGAGTGTTTATGTGTTGCCTTTCCTGTAGATTTTGAGGTCCTTTAAAGTAGGGCTTGTATTTACCCAGATGCATAACTTCAAGAACTTGCTTGGTCTCAGTATGTAAATATCTGTAAATATTTGTTGGATCCTTAATTAATTAGTTATCATCATTGTGTTTGGATCTCTATCTTAAGAATCCAAGTGTATTAGACAGCTCTTGAGTTACAATAAAGGAATGCCTGAGACTGGGTAATTTATAAAGAAAAGAGGTTTAATTGGCTCACAATTCTGAAGGCTGTACAAACATGGCCTCCAACATCTGCTCGGCTTCTGGCAAGGGCCTTAGGAATCTTAGAATCATGGTGGAAAAGTGGGAACAGGTATTTTACATGGCAAGAGGGGAAGCAAGCGGAATGGGGGGGGTCATGCACTCTTTTCAACAATCACATCTCTTGTGAAATAACTGAGAGAGAACTCACTTATCAAGGGGATAGTGCTAAAACTATTCACAAGGGATCCACCCCCATGATCCAGTCACCTCCCACGAGGATCCACCTCCAACATTGAGAATCACATTTCAACATGAGATTTAGAGGGGACACACCTCCAAACCATATCACCAACAAAGGATTTCCCGCATATACACACACTAAACGAGTTGCATTTCACATGGGGTAATTGAGAAAAATAGAGTATTTGGTCACTTAAGTCTTCAAAATTGAAGCAAATGGCTAAATTACAGTTGCTAATGTGAAATTCAATTACTATGTTGCTTATGCAATAATAGGATATTTTCCAAAGCAACATTCATAATGCAGAATATAAAAACATATTTCCAGTGTCATCAATATGATTTTTAAAATTAAAATGATTTTCTGATAGTTCCTTATAAAAGAATTATTACAATGCAAGGATAATTAAGGACAACCAGGGATATAAAAACCTTCAAATTCAAGATTTGAAGAAATGTCGGAGGGTGTGAAACAATTGTTTTAATTTTTCTCATTTGTAAATTCATTTTATGCCTTCAAGTGCAATATAAATTATTTACCAAAATTAGCTGCAGTCATTTACAGGGACAAATACAAGCAGATTCACACATAAACCTGTATAGTTGCTTTATTTGCATGTAAACTGTGCTAATGTCTAATTAGAAAGGTAACTAGAGAAGTAAACAATGCTTAATGTTGTAAAAAAAAAAAATCTTCACTCCCTCCCTTCTTCTGATTTAAGGAAGAAGCAAGGTGTATAAAAGTGCCAGAGGCACAAGGGAAAAATAACATTCTTATTTGAAAACATGTTCAGAAACCATGTTTCAACATGGAATTATGTATGACTTTATCCAGTTTCTAATTCTATGCGTTTTAGACTTGAAATAAGCACTCTTCATGCAAAGTCTGTGCCCAGAGGCCCACACACTGAAACCTAGGAGGCTGAGCTCTTCCCCTTCCCTCTGTCTATGCTGTTCGTTCCATGTCTCTCTTCAGACTTGAGTCATGGTCTCAGTCTTTCCATGATTCTCATGCAAAAAGACAAGGACAACTTGCTAACTAGCTGATAAAGTACCATGAAACATGTGTTTCATCCAAACACAATGAAAGGTGTCTCAAACTAACCAGCCAGGCACTCCAGTCTGTTATTTGCTAATTTGACTTTCCTGTTCTATCGGATTTCAGATGACCTTTCCTCTTTTTTCAATCCGGAGTAGGTAGAAATAGTGCCTTGTCTGGGCCTGCATATCCATATGCATTCTTTATGTCATTGTTAGTACACATTTTATGTGACTACACATGCAAAGGACTTGGAATGATGGAGAATCGTCCATCTGGTATTGGGGGCAGATCGAAGAAGAGATGAAGATCCCTTCTAAAGTCAAACTGTCATTTAGTCACATTACTGCATGACCACATCTAAAAACGACACTGGGAAATAAGCCCCACTGCACTGTGGTCAAACTCTGGAAATCTCTTGTTATAATAACAGCAGTTGCCTTGCCTGTTTTTCACGACAATGCCCCACTTTAAGGAAGTCAGTGAAGATGACATTGGAGAGATTGTTTGGAGATGAGAAACTGAAGGTGTCCAATATGTTCTAGGCAAAGAAAGCCTAATTTCAAATCTCAGATGCCAATATAGAATTCTAACCCTTATCCTAAATTACATATGCCTTACTCACATGGAACTTGATTTGATGAAGATTCTGTGTTGAGTTGATAAAAAATAATTATTATTATTATTCATTCTTGCCCCTGGACCTCCACTTTCCAGAGCCATTATGTCTTTGTGTGTATGCATGAGTAGACAAACACATCTGCATAGACTCAAAATGTGTAAACATGCATAGTTTATGTTGATGATGGGGTGGAAATCTTTTTGGTTGTTAAGCTCTTCCTGGTGAATGTCATTCTCAGTATAATCTCAAGTTCAGCAAGCCCCATACGTACAAGGATGGTAGGCACGCCATGGAGCCAGTGTTAAAAGCTAAGTCAATTTATAAGCACTGCCATGCCTGTGTCTTTAACTGTGCCTGTAGCTGTAGGCTAGACTGCATTTCAATCAGTTCGAGTTCAGCTGTCTGTTTCATTACACCCAGGCCAGTAACACTTTGGGGATTTTTAGTCCCTTCAATGACAAATGTATATTCAACCACTGCTGTGAGCAACAGCCCACAATGCAGGTCACCAAAGGACAACAAACTGAGTAGGTATGTCAGAGAAATGTTCAGAAAAATATCTCCATAGGTGTCTGCAATTGCCTCTACCTTCAATCTTTTCCATCTTTAAGAAGCATGTTAAAGTTGGGTTTTTTTCAAGCCTTGTAAAAGATACAATCCGTGTCTCTTAAGAAGAAATATCTAGAGTGCCTAAGACATTTCTGGCAAAACCTCATACAAATTTAACTCATTCAGATGACAGACAAAGACAGGATTTTTACACTCCCTAATGTGGTGGTTGGGTGTAATGTGTTTTAATACAAATCAAGAAAGTCTATTCACAGATGCCACTCTGAGATCCTTATTTCACAAAGCTGAAATAAATGTCCTTAAATTATACAATGCATCAGCTATGTTTAGTGCGACACTGAGAGAAATTCACCTCCATTGTGTTGTCACTTAGCCAACACATTGGGAGAAGGAGAAAAACACCTTCCAGTGAGAGCAGCGTCAGGTGATTCAGAAAAGACATTGAAGGGGCCCTAATGTATTTTACTCTGGCGCCTGTGCCTGTTGTTAAGGCCTGAGCTACACTGATGTACCCAAATCATCTCTGTGAAATTCTTGTATTTTATAAAGGAGGTAGGAAATTTTCATCAAGTCTCATCAATCAACTGAAAACTCTTTCTGCTGACCCCAGATCCGGCTCCATCTGTTAAAAAATCCCAATTAATTTGTGCAAGATGCAAATTTTATTTAACTGAAAGAAAGTCTGTGAAATTTTAATTATTGGGCTTCACTTGTGGCCCTCCTACCACGGAATTCCACCTTCAAATACATCTTGTTAGAGAGTTTAGTGCAACAATAACTTTTGATTTGCTTTTCTCAGTTCTTATGCCTATAACATCGGGAGCTAGTCACTTGACAACTAATGTCAGAACATCAAGAGAATAAATGCTTTTAATGTCTGAAGACTTTTTTCCCCCAGTAGCTTGTGACAGACATACGTTTTCCTATTCTGTCCTATCTCTTGAGCCAAAAAAATAAAGCAGGGTACTTTCTATATCAGGGTTTATCTAAAGGACCACATGGAAAAAGTCATGTAATCAGACTTGTCTTAATCAAACTTGGGTAAGGATCAGCCTCCTAGGAGAACAATCAAAGATGGTTTGATTTGCTAATATAAAATTCACAATGGACAGGAAGACTATATCCAATCAATACTCACTTAATATCACATTTGTTCCCAGCAATAAGCACTAGAAGGAGGCGTGTGTGTGTGTGTGTGTGTGTGTGTGTGTATAGAAGTGTTATAAATATGTATACTGTGTATGTTATTCAGTATTTTCCTTTCATGTTCTTTTTGCCAGGAACCTGGCAACACTTCAAACAATTAGGGAAAGAAAAAAATTATCTTTAGGGAATATCCTTCAATAATATTTTTGTTTGAAGGTGCATGCAATTCTGTGATACAGTTTTCCCTTTTTAAAACCTTTGCAGTGACACAGTCCTCAAAGCACCTGTTACTGGAGAAGAGTGTGTCTCTATTTTCATGTATCACTATATTATTAAAAATATCATTCTTTGTTGTAAATTCAGTTTGTTTGTTAAAGAAAACCGTGGAGCTACTGCTTTAAAAGAGTGATTGAATCTCTGAAAGCTCATTAACATCCCATTTTGGGGTAGGATACCCCAAAAAGCATTTTTCATGAAGAAGATATGCAGAGGCTCAATTATACTACACTTTGACTTTTTGGCCCTGTATTGTCCCTTATTGTTAAATCTTCCTAAAACCACCACCTTATTCCTTAGAAAATTATTCTCTCCCTTACTATTATCATTTTTTTCCATGTGGAAAAAATCTAATAAATTAATTTGTTTCATATACTAGTGATTAATATGCCAGAGGAGTTAAGGATGCTTGCTTCATGTGCAGTTTTTCAACAAGTCTTATTGCAGCACCCACTCTGCCAGGGATTGGGCTACTCACGGAACACAGCCACAGGCAAGATCCACACAGTGTTTATCGCCTACTGAAGCTATTGTCACATGCCCTTTGTCACTCCTAATTTTTTTTGTTTTGTTTTTTTGTCTGTTCTTTATTTTCCCTTGATCATCCTTGCCTGGGGGTCTTCTATGCTGTTAGTCTTTTTAAAGGGAACAGTGTTTATACCTCCATCAATGCTATCCATTAAACTTTGTCTTGTATTTTATTAAGCTTTGAACTTGTTTATTATTTTCTTCTTTCTGCTTTCTTTACATAACCTACTTTTCCTCTTTCTAACTTCTTGAGTTGGCTGCCTGATCCTTCACATTTAATCTTTCTAATAAACATAGTCGTAGGCTGAACATTTCCTCCTAAGAAATGATTGATTTGCAGTCCGCAAGTTCTAATATGTAATTGCTTTGTTTTGTGAGTCATTTAGAAGGGGATATTTAGTATTTGACCACTTTGATTTCAATTTCTAACTTTATCAGTCAGAAAACGTCATTTGTATGACACTGATTCTTTGGTATTTGATGGTACAATTTTATGGCATAGTAGGTGATATTTTTGAACATGCTCCATGTGTGTTTGGAAGTCCATTATTTAACTATAGTCTGCAAAATACCATATATGTCCATCAGCTGAAGCTTGCTTATAGTTTTTATTTTAATCTCTATGGTTTTAGTAAGTTTTTGCCTTACATGTTAAAATATCCCAGACACATGTCAAAATATTCCTGTATGACTGTAGATGCAAATTTCTTCTTGAAATTCTGACAACTTCACTTCATAAAATTTGTGGCTAGCTACGTACAATTGCAGAATGGTTGTGTTTTGCACAAGAATTATTCCTCTATTATGTAATAATTATCATTATTCCTAATGTTTTTGCTTTAATGTGATATTAACATAGGTATACTACATTCCCCCAGTGTTCTCCTTGTATATATGTGTAACCTCCTTTACTCTCATTCTTTTAACTATGTTTTTGAACTGCTACTTGTAACAGCACATAGGCAACTCTTTGAGAGAATCTCTGTGCTCTAACTGGTGAGTTTTGTCTGTTTACACTTATTGTGATAGCTTTTACAGTAAGGGATATGGTTGGCTGTAAGAACATAAATATTATATGACAGTGTAGATGTAGCACAATAAAGGGAAAATGGGAGAAAAAGGGGAAGAAGGTGAATATAAAATAAGCTTGGTAACTGCTTCTTCATATTGTCTACTCAAATGGCTGAGGAGAATGGTAGCAAGAGTAGTCATGATCTTCCTTATGGATCAGCTTATGATCTTTAATATAATTCAAGACTAAAAGGAAAACGGGTCCTTGCAGGGAAATGGCTGAGTGGAGTTATGAGTAAATAAGTTATAATGTGAGACTGGAGTATCTTGTGTGCTAGAATACTTCCAAGATACATGGGGTCTGTGAAAAGGACATAAGATTCCATTTGAAGGGTTCTTGAATGGCCAGAATTGTGTCAATTTAAGCATTGAAAAGAATAATGATTGCAGCTGTATGAACCCCTTGGCATCTATGAAAGTCCATGTCTTTATAATGACACTCAAAAAAGAGAAAGTCAAAAAATGCATTTGTTATCAATTGAGGTCACTCTTAAAGTAACTCCTTACTTTAAAAATGTGTTAAATAAAAAGAAAAAACTAAGCATTTACTCTGCTTTTCAAGCAAGAACTTTAAGATAACCAAATAGTCTCAACTGATGAAGCAAAAAGTGCTACTTTCTAGAAGAATGCCAAATAATATATTTAGAAGAAATTATTGGATTAGAAACCATCACTTCTAAAATGAAGCTTTTTATTCAGGCAAAGATTATCAATTATTATTAAGTGAATTGTTACTGGGGAACTAAACAGATTTATGATACCAAAAGAGCACTACACAGTCACAAGGAAAAATACATCTGTAAAATGAAGAGCTTGTCACCTTTAAACCATTGCTAAGGTGGACCAACAAGTTATTAATATGCTTATTAGTTTAATAAATATATGACATCATTGATAATACAGTCTAGGCAAAAAAAAAAAAAAAAGACTTATCTTGAACTCACCAGTTGTTTTTCTAGCTTCCAGTTTGCAGTAAATACATGAAAAAAAGAACAAGATCATCAGAACCCATAAAGTTGCAATAAGCAAATCGATGCGGGGAGATTGGCCTGGTTTCCTCAAGAAATCAGTGTCAAGGACAAAGGGGCCATTGTGGATGAAAAGAAACTTTAGGAAAAAAATAACCAGGTATCATGTAAGGACTGGATTCTACTTAGGAAAAATGAAATCAGCTCCAAAGAACATTTTTGTAACAGGTAAGCAAAATTTCATTATATAACAGGTATGAAGAGATATAATGGAATGATTACTAAATGTAATAATGTTATTTTGCATACGTAGGGAAATGTTTCCATTTTTAAGACGCAATCTGAAACATAAAAATAAAATTTAAAAAATGTAATAATGGTCATATAAACAGAATGCAACATGTCACTTTTCTATTATATCAGTTTGTTTTGTTATAGGAGTAGCTCTGAATTCTTTAGGAGGAAAAATGGTTATTTTATGCAAATACACACAAACACACATACATACATTCTATTTCTTTTCTCTTATTGATTAACCTTAAAATTTTAACATGTACGGTAATCATCACATAATCATCATCACCCTCTTATGATTTCACTCATGTTTACATTTTGCTGACTTATCATTGCCATACCTTCCTTTTGAATATGCAATTCTTCTTTCTATATTTCCATTCTTTGATTTTTATTTTTTTTTATTTTTTATTTTTTATTTTTTTTTATTTATTTTTTGTGTCGGAGTCTCGCTCTGCCGCCCAGGCTGGAGTGCAGTGGTGCGATCTTGGCTTACTGCAAGCTCCGCCTCCCGGGTTCACGCCATTCTCCTGCTTCAGCCTCCCGTGTAGCTGGGACTGCAGGTGCCCGCCACCACGCCCAGCTAATTTTTTGTATTTTTAGTAGAAACGGGGTTTCATCATGTTAGCCAGGATGGTCTCAATCTCCTGACCTCATGATCCACCTGTCTCGGCCTCCCAAAGTGCTGGGATTACAGGCGTGAGACACCGCGCCCGGCCCGATATTTCTTTCAGTCTTGTTCCAAGTCTAAATTGTCCTAGTCTTTTTTGTCTGAAAATTTTTTTTGATCTCACACTTAAACCATAATTTAGCTGGGTATAGAAATCTAGTTGAAAGCTATTTCTCAGTTCTTTGAAATCCTGTTTCTTTTGTTTCTGCTTGCTTTTGTTGCCAATTGAAGTGTGAAGACAATCTAAATCGGTATGAATTTGTAGGGTGTTTTTTTTTTTTTGGTGTTCTGCTTTTTTAAATAAACTCTTTCTAGATATGAAATTCCTTTTATCCTGCTAGAAATTCACTGTATGCTTTAAATCTGAAGATTGATGTCTTTCATCAATTCTGGAAAGTCTTCAACCAGGAAAGTCTTTAAACTTTAAATATTACCTCTCTGCCATTCTCAATAATTTCTCCTTCTGCATCTCCTGTTTACGGTGTTGAAACTTCCCATTCTGTTCTCCATGTCTCTTCTCTTTTGTATTTTCCATCTCTTTATCTTTGTGCTTAACATTGAATAATTCCTTCAAATATATCTTATAGTTTATTAATTTTATGTTCAGCTGGGTAACCTATTAGATTTTTTATTTCAAATAGTATATTTTTAATTTCACGAAAATCTATTAATTTCCTTTTCTAACATTTTTAACACCTCTATATACACTAAACATAATTATTTGATATTTTATTTTATATTGCAATTCTTTTATCTCAAAGTCTCAATGTATAATATTCTTTATTTTATATGCTGACTTTTGCACATGGTGGACTATTTTGTCTTGAGTTTTGAAATACTGTATTGTGAGTTCATTATTTGGATGATTGATAGGATCTTTATCAATGAAATATCTATCTTATCATCTGGATTTTTAAAGTATTCCTTGTGATTTTTTTCTCTGCGAGGAGTCCCAGGACTATCAGCAGCCTAGAGTCATTTTATGTTCATCTCTTAACTTGAGGTTTCCAGACAATACAGACAATCTAAATTCAGTCCCCAAATCACTGTGAAGCTATGCCTAAGTTTATTAATTCCCAGGGTTGAGTCTGAGACACACAATCATCTTCATCATCTTTCGGAGCTGATATGTAGAACTTTTCTAAGATTACGTTTCACTAAGCACATAGCCCTTTAAGGGTCTTGGCTTTATGACGCTATAATCTATATCAATTCCACCTCTCTTCCCTGCTAACTCCCAATTTTTCTTATCTCTATACAAGTGTTTCTGTGACAGTCAAATACTCCAGGGTTACACAGTTTCAGCTCACACTTACTAGAGTGATTTTCATTTCCTTCTTACTTTCTGGCCACTATATCATGTTTTCTTTCAAATTCAGCTCTATATTTCGAATAACTTTTGTTATATGTTATCCTACATGTCTAGATGTTAGTTGCAGGTAAGTTTTCAAATCATCTAGTCTGCCATATTGCCATAAATGAAATGATTAATTTTTTTCTTTTAAACATATATGATAAAGATAAATTTTCCTCACTGCCTTTACCATTTTTACTTTTATTCCAGCAGGAAAAAAAATGAATTTACATATACTAACATTGAGTTTCCTTTCATGAATGTCTCCCAATATAAGTTATGTTCCTTTTAAGTTCTTGGTGTACAAACCTTTAAAATCTGTTACTATTATTTTATTGACCTATGTTTGGAAAATAAATTTATTCCTGAAACAGGATATAAGGCAGGGAAAGAACTCTCTCCTTTCATTTGAAATGATCCTGGTTTTCACATGGTAAACTTTATTATTGTCAGCTTTAGTATCTTTAATATTGCTGTCTTCTCTATATCTTGAGAATTACACTTGATTTGTCTCTTATTTCTCAGATATCTTTTTCTGGGTCTATATGTTCTCCTATTCCCAGCAAAAGCTAAGCCTTCTAGTCTCTTTTTATGTCAATGATCTAGGAAGCTCTTTTCTCCTGATTCCACCGGTGAACCTAAATGACCGTGTCTCTTATTACAGCTTTAGCTACTCTTCCTAATCCATTTCTATTGGACTTGCTGCCTCAGACTTGATGTTTTTATCTTTTACAGCACACATTGCACTTTATGTTCATCACAATATGTTCAAAATCCTCAATTTCTTTCTATAGAACAGTATTGTGTCTTCCTGTTCCACTTTATAGCACCAATAAATTCTTTTTTGGAGACAAATAATCTTTTGATGCTTGAGCTTCTGATGTCCCTCCTCTCCTCTCCTCTCTTCAATCTCTGCCTCATGGATACATCAATACACATGATTTATTACTTTCTAGATTAAATTTCCAGAATTCTAAATTCAGAATTCTGAATTCATCATTAATTACAATGTCCTCCCTTCAAATTTAGGCTTATTGAACACCCTAACACAATGATGACATTTAAATTTCCAAACAAATAATTTAAAGTCTATTTATTAATACTATATTTAAAAGATGTCTCCAATACAAATCATCAGCACCATTTTGGGCCAGATAGAAAGAAAAAAAGTATACATCATCATCTCTTCTTCCTTATGCCTCATCATAATTACACGTGCAGGATTTTTCCTCCTTATCGCCATCATGTATGTAAAATCATTTTTATTACCTTTTAACTTTATCAGATAAGCATTTTATAGGATAAAAACAATTCCTATATCCTTGTTTGTGCCAGGAGAGTATCTGTGAGAGCCTTAGCAGAAGGAGATCCAGAAGACAAATCAATTAATAAGTGTAAATTACACTTAATATTTGACAAGCACTATGGTACCAAAGGCAGAGTTCTTGTCCTAGAGGGCCGTACAACTCATTTAATGACAGGAATATGAGATGAGAAAAGGGAACTGAATAACTGCAGGAGTGTGTGTGTGTGTGTGTGTGTGTGTGTGTGTGTGTGTGTTGGTATGTGATGAAGCAAATATAACTATACATGACAATCAAAAACATTTTCAGATATATAAAATATAGAAAGATAGTTCTGTTTTGATTCAAGGATCTTGAAAATTTCTAAGCACTTTTTTGTATCTCCTTTTTATTTTCCATGATACTTTAAAGAGGTAAAGGAAGACATTGGGAAAATGTTTTAAATTATTGTTATAGAAATGAACCCAAACAGGCGCCAACTATGATTTTTTTTTTCAAAAACTCATTGTTACTGAATTCAGATAGTTGCCCATCCTTTATCAGCCATTCAAGTCAATCAAGAATAAAAGATTATTTATTTTTTCAAGATTGATTTTTAATGTGTGGATATTCTTTGAAGCCCTCTGGCTATAATTCATGCAAACACATTCAAAATATATAACTGAAAGGCAAATGTGACTACTCTCTGGACTTCATGGCTTGTCACTGAACACACGTTCACAAAACCTGAGCATGTCCCAGCATCCAGAATCCACAAGATGGCATTAGTGTTCACTTTTTTCCCCCGTTTTAAAGCAGTTAATTTTATGACTGTCACTAAATTGTCTTTTTTTTAAGAAAAAGATAAATATTTTTCCTCTCCTGAGATATTTCTTAATATGATTAACAATGATTAATTTGATATCTTTGGAAAGACTTGAAGTAAAAGAAAATGACTTGCCTGTTCTTCGTATCTGTGTTTTGAAAGTTGATCACCTCATTCCTCCAATTCTATATCTCTCCTCTTTTATAAGACCCAGAGGCTGCACTGTCCAATACAGTCACCAGAAGCCATATGTGCTATTTACATTTATTACACTTAACTTTTAAGATTCAGATCTTCAGGCCAGGTGCAGTGGCTCATCCTGTAATCCCAGCGCTTTGGGAGGCCTAGGCGGGTGGATCACTTGAGGTCAGGAGTTGGAGACCAGCCGGGTCAACATGATGAAACCCTGTCTCTATTAAAAATACAAAAATTAGCTGGGTGAGGTGGCAGGCGCCTGTGGTCCCAGCTACTTGGGAGGCTGAGGCAGGAGAATCACTTGAACCCAGGAAGCGGAGGTTTCAGTGAGCCGAGATCGTGCCACTGCACTCCATCCTGGGTAACAGAGCAAGACAAGACTCCACCTCAAAAAATAATAATAATAATAAGTAAATAAAAATAAATAAATAAATAATAAAATTCAGATCTTTGGTTGCACTAGCCACATTTCATGTGTTCAATAGCCGCATGAGGCTCGTGGCCACCATACTGTACAGAGCAGATATTAAACATTTCATGACCCCAGAAAGCTCTATTGGACAGCACTAACTAAAGAATAATAACTCAGGGACCTGAATCTATATCCAGAAACTGATACGTACAAACAATATCCCCCTGTTGATGATATCTGTCTTTGTGACATTTACATTCTGATATAAAAATAGAGGTGAACAGAACGTTGAAATTTAAATGCAAACTTTCACCCACCTCTGTGTACAGAGTGTTCTAGGAGCATTGCTGCATCCTTCAAAATATTCTCATGTGAGTCGTGTGTTTAGGATGCAAACTACTTTACACAATATTGGGCATCTTCATGACAGCTATTGACGTCTTTAATTATTTTTAACTCCACTTATATTATTGAGCTCAGTGTAGTCATGGCTTTCAGAAGCACAAAAACAAAATAGTAGGGCTGGAAAGGGAGCTGCAGATCATCTGATCCTGCCTTCTTGTATGATTCATTAGGCTGCAAGGCCATAGAATGAGGCATGTGATGTAACAGGAAGTCCTTTGGCCCAGGAGACCAGAAACAAAATCTATTCTGGGAGATCTTGGTTGAACTTTTCTGTACCCAAGTTTCATTACACAGGAAATGAAGGGATTGGGAAAGGTTATTTGCAGGTTTACTTTCAGCTCTCAATGTCTCTCTTGTGTTACATTTAGTGTCAGGAATCAAAGGGGTTTCAAAGTCACAAGATAAAAATAGTACATCTACCTTGAGTATTAATTTTACTCAAAGATTTAAAAAGGAAAAGGTAAGTATGTTGACTGATAAGTGATTTAAAAATTATCTTTTTATCTCTAAAAAATGCAGATGTGTTTTTGGAGGAGATAAAACATAAAATACAAAGAAATATTATGCCAGCACTGAGCTACTTGAGATACACTCCCAAACCCCTTCAGGATTTTCATTCATTCTTTCTGCCTTTAGGGACAGTTTTTAAACATTTGAGAAATGCTTCAATAGGTAATAGCACAGAAGTGAAAAGCCTTCCAATGACAAATTGGGAGACTTCCCTGCTGTTTGATAAGGAATACAAGCTCAGAAATTACAGTTAAATCCGTAACAGGATTAAAGTTCATTCACAAAGAAATACAAAGCAATGATGTAATGCTTAATAGTGATGATGTTGGTAATGATGCCAGAAATCTGGGCTAAATAATTATTAAATTTCATATAAACATAGACTCTGGATTTCCTAGAGGCTAGGTAAAGAGAAAACAGAATGGGTGATATCATTCTCATTTTATAATAAATGAAGAATATAGTCACATAAGAAAAATAGACAAACATTCCCAAACTAAAAAATAAAAAATAAAAAAAATCAGAGAGATTGAATGCAAGTGTGTTTTATAAGAAACATAAATTAACATTGTGTTTAATAGCAATTTTACAAATGATAGAGAGGTATTCTTCATAAAGCCATTTCTTAGATTGACCCTGGATAAAGGTCAAAAACATGTTAATGTATTGGGAATTTGTCGAACCACTTCTACAGAAAGGGAAACACTAATATTCTCCAGGCATATAGCATTTGGGTGACCTAACTTGGAAGAAGGGTAGAGCTTAGAAAATTTGAAGAAATGGATGACTAGAATGCTCACTTCTAATTTTTAAATAACAAGTGCCTTATTACTTATTTTGCCCATTAAAATACCACCAATGCCAAAAGAAAGCCATATCATACCAAAAGGAATGAATTTAGATACACCATCAAATATCAGTTGTTTGAAAGAGAGATGATACAGGAGAAGCATCTATAATGATGTTTCTTGTCCCTAAAAATAAACCACCAACAAATATTAATTATCCAAGATCCTACTGTCAACTAAGATAAAAATATATTGCTAATTCTTGTCTTGGATTTTCAAGTGGCAATGGTGATTAGGTACTAATCAGTAGATAACCTTTCTTCCTTGAATATTTTTTATCGCGGTAAAAAGCACATGCGATTACATTTACCATCTTAACCATTTAAGTGTATAGTTCTGTGGTCTTAAGTACATTCCCATTGTTGTGCAATATATCTGTAGCACTTTTCATCTTGCAAAACTGAAACTTTACCCATTAAACACCTTTTCCCTCAACCCTTGGCAACCACCATTTTACTTTCTTTCTATGCTTTTGACTATCTTAAATGCCTCATATGAGTGGAATTATACAGTATTTGTGCTTTTTAAATTTTCTCCTTTTAATGCTGAATAATAGTCCATTCTGTGTATATACCACATTTTATTTGCCCATTCATCCATTGACGAACATTTGGACTGCTTCTACCTCTTGGCTATTGTAAATGGTGCTACAATGAAAATGTTGCACAAATATCTCTGTGAAATCATTCTTTCAATTTCTTTGGATATATACCTAGAAGTAAGATTGTTGGATCATATGATAATTCTATTTTTGATTTTTTTGAGGAAGTTTCACACTGCTTTCCATAATGGCTGCACCATTTTACATTTTCACCCACAGTACATAAGAGTTTCAATTTCTCTACATCCTTGCGAACACTTATTATTTTCTGTCCTTTTGAAGGTAGCCTTCCTAATGGACAATGGTTGTTTCTATGCTGCTCTATCAACTTTGCCAGCCAGACTTTTGGCAGGGATATTGTACAGCAAGCAATTCAAGATGGAGGATGCTTGAACGATCTCAATTATAGGCTAATAACAGAATTGCAAGGGTTGCAAAAGTCATAAATCTGTACATTCATTTAATTTGAAATGGTGTAATAATGGTGAGTAGTTAAATAGTGGTGCCTTCAGTGTACAGTAGTAGTCATCATTGACGTGACAGCAGCAGCAGCTATGTTGTGAGAAGGAGGTATCTTGGGTCTCCCAGTCCTGTTCATAACACTGTCAAGTCATGGGATAGGGGAAAATACTTAACCACTCTGAGCTCATTTTCCACATTTGTGAATTAGGGATAACAATATCTACTGCACCACACATTGTTGGTATGAGGATTAAATGAAAGTATGTACATAAAGAGTCTGGCACATTATATGCTATCAACAAATGTTAGCTTCTTTACCCTTAATCCCCAAATCCATTTCTCATGCAAGTTAATATATTGAGAGATCAAGACCTGAATTTTTAATAAAATGCTGATACGAAGTTTCAAGAGACATTTAGCAGCTACTGTAATTTTTAGGAAGGCTTTTCTATGGTAGTCTGTACCAGGCATTCAGCCTGCAGAGACCCTGCATGAAGAGAGGTCTACTCAGGTAAGATTTCAGGAATGCTTCAGGAGAAGAGTTTCCTCCACCATTGGGTTTATTATAAGATGGTCAATCAAAAGTGTTGTTTTGAGTGAACCGTTCTAAAGTCTTAAGCAACTAGGTCTGAGACGCTATACTCTTAAGCTCAAATGGACAGAAAGAAGGCCTCACTCTGGTGTCTTTGATAGTCCACCAGTCCATTCTATTTAATAAATGCAATCCATTTTCAACAGAGCAGACAGAGAGGTTTTCCTAAAACATAAACCAAGTTACATCTCACCTCTACTCAAAACTTTCCAGGGTTTCCTACTAGAATTTGTAAAGCTGCAGAGGCAGGGACTTTTTACTGTTTTTTTTTCTTTTTTTTTTTTTTTTTTTTCATTGCTATAAACACAGTACGTAGAACAGTGCCTGACAGAAAACAAGCCCTTAATACCTATTTATTCAATAAATACACACATGAGTAAAGAAATAAGTAAAGTATTCAAATTGAAAGACTTTCTGCATAGTATCCCTGGGTTCTGCTTGAATGTTGTCTTGCATGTTCTTCTAGGCTTTCTTGACTTCGAATCAAGGATTCTGAAAAGTTGTCACTTCCTCTCTGATGTTTGGATCCATAATCAGTGCAGACATCTCTCCCAAAAGACAGCTGGGCCTGAACATTGTGAACTCCTTTTAACTCTTCTCCCAGAGCAAAGAGTTGCTCCAGTTCAGCCCCCAAGTCAGGGTACAGACTCAGGGCCTCAGTGTTGGGGATGAGCAAGTCTAGGATACAATTAGTACTCTCAACCCATCAAAGATGCTCCTTTCACAGATGGAGGCAAACAAGGGTAAGTTAAATAGTCAATTATCTATAATGTTTTGCTCCTTTTTTATAAATAAGTTTACCCCAAGACTTTGAAGGTTACACTTAACTGTATTGAGTTGTTATAAGTTTGATCAGTCATTTCTCTCTTTGGATAAGATATCCTTGCAAGAGTAATGGCCTATCGGGAAACAATTTTCCCAAACCAAGTAATCTAGCAATAGAATTTTATAGGAACCAATTATGTTCCTGACAGCCAGCGCCCCTAAAATTACTGAATCAGTTAAAGTGTGCTTCAAACC